>NC_000002.12:149004769-149307799 GCF_000001405.40 Homo sapiens | reverse complement strand
GATCAATAATTGGTTGACTCTCAGGTTTAAATCACACATCAAAAATGAAACAAAATTGGATTATTTCTTAGTTTCTTTCCTCCTAAATTAGATGTTACCTCAGAGGCACTACAAAATATTAGATTTTTTGGTTATAAAATCCATTTTTTTTTAAGTCGCTCCTAGTAAACTAGTCAGAAAAATGCAATGCCCCAGAAAGATAGGGACATCATAGGAGAGTGAGGATAAAATGAACTTTCTCTTAGGGAATTCTTTTAGTTTCCAATTTGAGTCTTTGATTAGACTAATCAGATTAAGAAGGATGGAACCATTCCTCAGGCATGTTCGGAAGAGTCAAATTTGGAGTAGGTGGAAAACTAAGGATACAGAAAACAGGAACCAGGTCAAAGGTCTTCCCCAGGGAGAGGCTTCATGACTCTGCCTGATGAAACCCTTACTGCCTGTCACTATCTTCAAAGCACAGAACAGTACACAGCCCAGAGCAGACCCCGGGTTGTATCTGCCCTGTGATTAGTTGACAAGATCACTGAATTGCGGGCTGATGACCCCAGTCGCTGATGGAATCTGTCGGGCTCAGTTTTCATCATCCTCGTACCCTTTTGTGAATAACTAGAGTTTCCTTCCTTCCCTTCCTGTCTGGTTTGCATCACTGACAAATTCCACTTTTCCTCTCTTGAGAAAGACATTCTTCCTTGGCCTAGCCCATTATAATAGCACATTCCATTTCAAGATGAACTGGAATATAGCCTTCAACATAAAACAATTGTAAGTGGTTGAGATAAAGCACCCAATAAAGCAACTGAAAGTAGAAAAAGGCAGAAAGAATTTGTGCCTTCTTATGGAGCAATACTCCCCATCCATCAGCTAAAAAGGAAAATCTGGGACACGGCTTAAAATTTTCATTAAAATGGAACAGAGCATCAGGAAGTCAGATTTAGACCAACAACCATGAGATATTTTTCTTACAGTTCCTTTCTCCTGGACAGTCTTGCAGTCGGCTTCAAAGTCTCTCTGTGACCAAGTTCAGCAAAGTTACTTTTTCCTCCTCTCTTTGATTGAACCAGAACTTTGGGAAGGGCAGTGAAGTAAGCCGAAATGAAATTGCCAAAGTTATGGTTCTCAAGTAAATGAGATTTTCTCTAATGCTTACCAACTGTCACCAGGTCAGATGGATTTTTCTGCTTGAAGTCCCCTGTTGCATTAATTTCTTCACTGTCTTATGGTATCCCTCCAAAAGTAACCCCAGCAGCCATAAAAGCATAAAAAGAAAATACATAGCATAACTGGTGCATGAAAGGATGACAAGAAATAAAAAGTGGGGAGAAGGCAGAAAGAAAGGTCTTTAGAAAAGCATGTTGTTTTCTTGGCTTTCAACTCAGGGGACAATTCACACATCATCCCACTCAGACCTACCAGAAAATATCATGATGTGACAGGTCTGGGTTGGCTGAACTAGAAATCCTTAAAGGTAGGTGCATGTTTTCTTTTCTTGATTCATCTAGTACAGTGATTTTGGAGAACATTTTTAAAGCAGTGAAACCACTATATATAAAGCAGCTGAAAGCAGAGTGACACTGGCTGAGTTAGGGGTCTCATTAGCAGGGCTTCCCTTCCCCACCGGAGTAGCCCATATGAGCCTTCAAGTAATTGCAGGATTGGAGGTGCGAAAGTCACCACTCTAGAGGATTTTTGGTGATCCATCAAGTGACAGCACCAGGACTTAATTTCTCTGAATACAAATGGCTGTCATCTAAATTAGGGAACAAGAAGATAGCCTCTGTTTCTCTCTAATGTATTCACGTACAGTTTCCTCATTCACTCTGGTTTCTTGGGCTAAAAATTAGTATCATTTTATGATAGAGACCAGAAGTCTTATCATCTACCATCTAACTGCCCTCATCTTCCTTCCTTCATAAAACATTTCAACAGATGTTTATTGAATCCCTCGTTTAGGTCCAAGGCACTATTTTGATGAAAGTTAGAAATAAGTATAATAGTAGTAGTAGTAACAGTCATAATGGTAAAAATAATAGCAAATATGTAGATAGTATTAATTAACTTCCAAACACTGTTCCAAGTTCCTTATGTATGTTAAATCATTCAATCATCTAAATGACACTCTAGGAAAGACATGATTGTCATTTCCAGTTTATAGATGAATAAATCAAGGCACGAATGATGAATCTGCCTCAGTTTAAGTTGACTTTCACTTCTCTTGCCCACCGAACCAGCAAACAAGCAGTGCACATAACATATACAAGATTAGCTGGGTGTGGTGGCTCATGCCTGTAATCCTAGTGTTTAGAGGGGCCAATGTGGGAGGATTGCTTGAGGCCAGGAGTTTGAGACCAGCCTGGACAACATAGCAAGACCCCGTCTCTGTAAATATTTCTAAAAATTAGCCACCATGATGGCATGTGCCTGTAGTCCCAGCTACTTGGGACACTGAGGCAGAAGGATCACTTGAGCCCTGGAGTTCAAGTGACATAATCATAGCTCACTGCACTCCAGCCTGGATGACAGAGCAAGACCCTGTTTCCAAACTAAAAATTAAACAAAAAACAAGATAAAGAATGCCATTTTGTCATTCTCCAGTTGTCATTCTCCAGTTCCTTCTGTAAAATTCAGTGTTCCACTGGAGTGAGGACTCTGCTGTGTTAGAACACAAGACCTATGGGTTTATAGATTTATTATTCAGGAGTGCCCTGGCCTGGGTCAAATACCCATACAAGTGCCATCCTATTATGGCACAATCGTATCTCATTGCAGCCTCAAACTCCTGGGCTCAAGCAATCCTCCTGCATCAGCCTCCCGTGTAGCTAGGAGTATAGCTACTAGTGTATGCCATCATGATCGGTTAATTTTTTAAAAAAATGATTAGGAATTTCTTGCAGCACCACTCTGCTTCTAAGTTCTATCACTTACTGCATCACTGGGTTTGTAGCAGGCCTGGCCATGGCCTACTGACAAATAAAATCACTAATGTTTCATGTGTAGAATCAAAAAGTGCTGTTCCTCCCAGATACCACTGGGTATCTTGTCTGGACTGGGTGTGAGACTCTTTGTGTAGAGTGTGAGGTTAAACAATACAACTTCCTAAAAGTCTCTTCGGTTTTCTAAGCAGAAAGCCCCCTGCTGTAGATATTAACTGAATTTTTAAATTAACCTAGAGTACTTGAAGATATTTAAAAGAGATCCCCACTAATTTTACTTGAACTTTATGGAAACTTGAAGACATATGTCAAAGAACTTGCATCCTCTGTATAATGTGGCTTCAGACATTATAGACCCATTGGATGGACTAAGTATTTTCAAAGAGAAGCAAGCTATAAGAAACGGAACATGGACCCCTGGAGAAAAGTCATCTTGAAAGATGAAACCTCTCAAGGAGGCTAACTAAGCAAGAAGGATTGACACTTTAGTTCTGAGTGGGGATTAAGGCCCTCACGTACCCACCCAGATATAACCCCAACCCCAGAATGCCTGGGAGCTCTGCAAAAGAGAGGAATGGGGAATAGAGAACTTTGTCTTTAGAGGCCCTACAGCTCTGCTATAGGAGGCCCTTCTGAAAAATCTGGTCAGGCAAGGAGAAAGTACTTTCCTAGTGAATGATGGGGAAGAGCAGTAGTGGCAATTGGTGAATTAGAGGAAGTCAGGAGCTGTGGAACAGGAACCTCTTGACAGCATGGAGGCCAGTGGTTTCTAGGGCAGGCCAGGTATGATCAGCGGTGTAGTCAGCAGGCTCAAGCTTGATCAGTGTCCTGTGGTGGTGCAGACACAGTCAGTCTAGAGGAAAACTGACAGTAATATGGGTAGCAGCAAGGGCAGTATCTAGTGGGCGGCCAAGTGGCAGCAGAAAGATGAAAGTTCTGCAAACTGCATCCACTGGGAGATGATACCCAACCTGGGACTCCTGGAGGGGACTGACTCCATGCTGAACCCCTAAATCCTAGAGGAAGGGTAAGGAGGAAGCTAGAATCATTCAGAATACACCTGTAGGCACACTTAGGGATTCTCCACTGTCTTCGGGGAGAGGAGATGACATTTTCAATTAGGCAGGCAGGGGCTTTGGAGCATTGAGATTCCAGCTATTTCTATAAATGTGACACCTCTCACTTTATGAAGTGTGGGACTTAACAAGTTACATATATAACATTTGGGGTTTTCTGTTTGTTTTTGTTTTGTTTGAGGCAGTCTTGTTCTGTCAGCCAGGCTGGAATGCAGTGGTGAGATCTCGGCTCACTGCAACCTCCGCCTCCCAGGTTCAAGCAATTTTCCTGCCTCAGTCTACTGAGTAGCTGAGGTTACAGGCGCCTGGCACCATGCCCGACTGATTTTTCTACTTTTAGTAGAGACAGGGTTTCTCTATGTTGGCTAGGCTAGTCTCGAACTCCTGACCTCCACCTCAGCCTCTCAACGTGCTGGGACTACAGGCATGAGCCACCTTGCCTGGCCCATATATAACACTTCAATCTTAGTCCCAATGAATGCAGTCTTCGTTGTTTGTAAAGGAGTGCTGACAGAGTTATGTTTCAGTAGATACATCTTTGGGGGCCTCTTTAGTTCATATGCTTCCATGTTTCTTAATTCATCAAACATTTATCGAACATATAATAATATGTCTGACAGTAGGCCAGGGGTTGAGAATATAGAAATACATACACCAAAATAAATATGGTGTAGTCTCTGATCTCAACAATCTCACAGGTTAGCAGGGCACTAATCTATTAAGCAATGATGGGATGTGAGGTGGTCAATGTCACAGAGAGGTATGGACATGTGTAGGGAGAAGCAAAGGGGCTGGTGAGAAGTTACAGAAGGTGGCATAGTGGATGAGCTACACAGGGTATAATAGGTGACAATAAATTTGCTAGGACAACAGACGGGAGGCAGGGCATTTGGATCTGTAAGGGAAAATGGAGAATGCCCAGCATAATCTCCAGGCTTCTCCCTACTCAGTATCCTGCGAGTTTGGCTTCTATGGACTGCGTTCCCTCTTGTTCCCTGCCTTTCAGGTTTGCATTTCTGAGGGGAGGTGCCAGCAAGAGAAAAGAGAGATATTTTTTCCTCCACCTCCCTCTCTGTCCAGTTTGATAGTAGCTTTGTTCTTCCATCTGACAAGGACTCCCTCCCAAGTTCTAGCAAGAGAAGGAAACAGTTACTAGAAGGGGCCAAGGTTGGCAGCTGCCTGCTGTTGCTGGCCCCAGGTTAGTCACCTTCCCTTACTGGCTTCATTAATCCTGCCCACGTCTCTACAGAGAATCCCTTTACCACCTTCCATTACCTTTCTGGGTACACCGCCTGTTCCCTGTTGGGACCCTGCATGATACAGCACTCTAAGTATAATAGTATATGCAAAGGAGATATGAAATGACACAGTGGGAATCAAATCCCCTATTATAAAAGGGAGACCCTCCTCTCCCAAACACACAGCCCCACTGGAAAAGCTGAAGGTCGGTTTGTGGGAGAAGTTTCTGACTTTACCTGGAGCTGAATCAATTTAGAAAGCCTAGTGGAATACATGGATAGAAGAAGCAGCAGAAAGGCACTGGGAGCTCACTGTATCCCCTAGCAGGCCATTCCTGCCTGGCACCACAGGGATCCATCAGGAGGGTGACCAGAGGAGCAAGGGGTAAAACTCCACAGGGAGAAGGAAATCTCTAGCTGAACTTTGTGACAATTTTTACAGGACGAGAAGCCTCCTGGCCAGAACTCAGGGGAAGGTGTAAATCCAGTGTGCAGACTCCACAGGCAGGGGAAGAACCAAGCCCTTTACTTTTGCATCTGGAAGGCGGGTAGCCCAGAGCAAGTTTTCAAGCCCATCACATCCTCTGCCTGGAAACAGACCTCAGGGCTGTTGTGGTGGGGGCTACAGTGTCTCTCTATCCTGCTGTGTCCAATCTGCTGGCCCTTCAGTTTGCATGGGAGCTAGGTAAGACCTGTGACTGCTGGCTTTCCCTACTTCCCTGACAACCTGCACAACTCAGCAGAGACAGTCATAATCCTCCCAGGTACAAAACTCCAGTAACCTGGGAATCTCACCCCCATCCCCCACAGCAGCCACAGCAAGACCAGCCCAAGGAGGGTCTGAGCTCAGACACGCCTAGCCCTACCCCCACCTGATGGTCCTTTCCTATGCATCCTGGTAGCAGAAGACAAAAGGCATATAATCTTGGGAGTTCTAGGGTCCCACTAACTACCGGTCCCTCTTCATACTACTACAGCTAATGCTTTCTGGAAAGTGCCACCTCCTGGCAGGAGGCCAACCAGTACAAAAATAGAGCATTAAACCACCAAAGCTAAGGACCCTCATGGAGTCCATTGCACCCTCCACCACCTCCAATGGAACAGGAGCAGGTATCCATGGCTGAGAGACCCATAGACGATTCATATCACAAGACTCTGTGCAGACAACCCCAGTACCAGCCCAGAGCTGGGTAGACTTGCTGGGTGGCTAGACTCAGAAGAGAGGCAATAATCACTGCAGTTCAGTTCACAGGAAACCACATCTATGGGGAAAAAAGGAGAGTACTACATCAAGAGAACACCCCATGGGACAAAAGAAACTGAACAACAGCCTTCAGCCCTAGACCTTTCCTCTGACAGAGCCTACCCAAATGAGAGGAAAGCAGAAAACCAACTGTGGTAATATAAAAAAACAAGGCTCCTCAACACCCCCAACAAATCATACTAGTTCACCAGCAATGGATCCAAACCAAGAAGAAATCCTGATTTACCTGAAAAAGAATTCCGGAGGTTAGGTATTAAGCTAATTAGGGAGGGGCCAGAGAAAGATGAAGCCCAATGAAAGGAAATCCAAAAAATTATACAAGAAGTAAAGGGAGAAATATTCAAGGAAATAAATAGCTTAAAGAAAAAAAATAAAAAATTCTGGAAACTTTGGACACACTTTTAGAAATGTGAAATGTTCTGGAAAGTCTCAGCAATAGAATTGAACAAGTAGAAGAAAGAAATTCAGAGCCCAAAGACAAGGTCTCTGAATTAACCCAATCCAAAAAGACAAAGAAGAATAAGAAAATATGAACAAGGCTCCAAGAACTCTGGGATTATGTAAAATGGCCAAACCTAAGAAAAATTGGTGTTCCTGAGGAAGAAGATAATTCTAAAAGTTGGGAAAACATATTTGGGGGAATAATTGAGGAAAACTTCCCGGTCTTTCTAGAGACCTAGATATCCAAATACAAGAAGCACAAAGAACACCTGGAAAATTCATCGCAAAAAAAGTCTTTGCCTAGGCACATTGTCATCAGGCTATCCAAAGTTAAGACAAAGGAAAGAATCTTAAGAGCTGTGAAACAGAAGCACCAGGTAACCTATAAAGGGAAACCTATCAGATTAACAGCAGATTTCTCAGCAGAAACCCTACAAGCTAGAAGGGATTGGGGCCCTATTTTCAGCCTCCTCAAACAAAACAATTATCACCAAGAATTTTGTATTGAGCAAAACTAAGCATCATATATGAAGGAAAGATACAGTCATTTTCAGACAAACAAATGCTGAGAGAATTTGCCATTACCAAGCTACCACTACAAGAACTGCTAAAGGAGCTCTAAATCTTGAAATAAATCCTAGAAACACATCAAAACAGAACCTCTTTAAAGCATAAATCACACAGGACCTATAAAACAAAAATACATGTTAAAAAGTAAAAATGAAAAACAAAAAAAACAAAGTACACAGGCAACAAAGAGCACAATGAATACAATGGCACCTAAGATTTCAATATTAACATTGAATGTAAATGGCCTAAATGCTCCACTGAAAGATAAAGTACCACAAAATGCATAAGAACTCACCAACCAACTATCTGCTGCCTTCAGGAGACTCACCTAACACATAAGGACTCATATAAAATTAAAGTAAAGGGGTGGAAAAGGGAATTTCATGCAAATGGACACCAAAAGCAAGCAGGGGTAGCTATTCTTACGTCAGACAATACAAATTTTAAAACAACAGCAGTTAAAAGAGATAAAGAGGGACATTATATAATGGTAAAAGGCCTTGTCCAACAGGAAAATATCACAGTCCTAAACATATATGCACCTAACACTGGAGCTTCCAAATTTATAAATCAATTACTAATAGACCTAAGAAATGATATAGACAGCAGCACAATTGTAGTGGGGGGACTTCAATACTCCACTGACACCACTAGACAGGTGATCAAGACAGAAAGTCAACAAAGAAACAATGGATTTAAACTATACCTTGGAACAAATGGACTTAACAGATATATACAAAACATTTCATCCAACAACCACAAAATACACATTCTATTCAACAGCACATGGAACTTTCTCCAAGATAGACCACATGATAGGCCATAAAAGGAGCCTCAATAAATTTAAGAAAATTGAAATTATATCAAGCACTGTTTCAGACCACAGTGGAATAAAACTGGAAATCAACTCCAAAAGGAACCTTCAGAATCATGCAAATACATAGAAATTAAATAACCTGCTCCTGAATGAGCATTGAGTCAAAAACAAAATCAAGATGAAAATTAAACAATTCTTCAAACTGAATGACAATAATGACACAACTGGCCAAAACCTCTGGGATACAGCAAAGGCGGTGCTAAGAGGGAAGTTCATAGCCCTAAACACCTACTTCAAAAAGACTGAAAGAGCACACACTGACATTCTAAGGTCGCACCTCAAGGAACTAGAGAAACAAGAACAAACCAAACTCAAACCCAGCAGAAGAAAGAAAATTACCAATATCTGAGCAGAAATAAATGAAATTGAAATGAACAAACAAAAAATTGCAAAAGATAAATGAAACAAAAAGTTGGTTCTTTGAAAAGATAAATAAAATTGATAGTTCATTAGCAAGATTAACAGAGAAGAGAGAAAATCCAAATAACCTCACTAAGAAACAAAACAGGAGATACTACAACTGACACCACTGAAATACAAAAGATCTTTCAAGGCTATTATGAACACCTTTATGCACATAAACTAGAAAACCTAGAAGAGATCTATAAATTTCTGAAAAATACAACCCTCTAGCTTAATTCAGGAAGAATTAGATACCCTGAACAGACCAATTATAAGCAGTAAGATTGAAATGGTAATTTAAAAATTACCAATAGGAAAAAGTCCAGGACCAGGTGGATTCACGGCAGAATTCTACCAGATATTCAAAGAAGAATTGGTAGCAATCCTTTTGACACTATTCCACAGGATAAAGAAGGAATGCTCCCTAATTCCTTTTATGAAGCCAGCGTCACCCTAATACCAAAACCAGGAAAGGATATAACCAAAAAAGAAAACTACAGACTGATATCTTTGATGAACATAGATGCTAAAATCCTTAACAAAATACTGGCCAACTGAATCCAAAAACATATCAAAAAGATATTCCACCATGATCATGTGGATTTCATACCAGGGATGCAGAGATGGTTTAACATATGCAAGTCAATAAATGTGATACGCCACATAAACAGAATTAAAAACAAAAATCACATGATCATCTCAATAGATGCAGAAAAAGCATTTGACAAAATCCAGCATCACTTTTTGATTAAAACTCTCAGCAAAATCAGCATACAAGAGACATACCTCAATGTATTAAAAGCCATCTATGACAAAACCACAGCCAACATAATACTGAATGGGGAAAAGTTAAACGCATTCCCTCTGAGAACTGGAACAAGATAAGGATGTCCATTCTCACTACTCCTCTTCAATATAGTAGTGGAAGTCCTAGCCAGAGGAAACAGACAAGAGAAAGAAATAAAGGACATCCAAATCGGTAAAGAGGCAGTCAAACTGTCACTGCTGACAATCTGATCGTTTACCTTGAAAACCCTAAGAACTCCTCCAGAAAGCTCTTAGAACTGATCAAAGAATTCAGCAAAGTTTTCAGATACAAGATTAATGTACAAAAATCAGTAGCTCTTCTATACACCAACAGCAACCAAGTGGAGAATCAAATCCATAAAAGGGGATTTGATTTTATAAAAGGGGAGGGTCTCCCTTTCCCCTTTCCCACTTCCATTTGGATGTGGAGCCTCATGTGCTTTGTGTAAGAGGCTTTGTCCCAGAGACTCTGCTAATATAACTGGTGTTCATGTATTTGGCTTTTCTGGTGATTTCCTCACAATTCCTCAAAATTCCTTAAAGTCTTATATTATCATGGCATTGAATTAAAGGCATTTCTCTGCCTGTGAATTATAGAACACAGCTTTCAAATAACCTGGTTGAGAAGTAATAGAACTCCTCTATTTTCTGCCAAGAACCCCTGTGAATTACTCTCAGGAATAAGAACACAGGATTTAGTTGAAGTTAGTAGCTTTCCCCTTCCAATATGTATAATCCTTAAACAAATCATGTTCTGGTAGATGATCCAGAATTGAGTGCTTCCCTAGAATTCAACATAGTTGTTCTTCACTTTTTATTTTTCTCCTAAACAAGCACTGAATTATCTTGGGAAGGTAAGCCAGATGAGAGAGCCATTGCAAGCCCAGAGAATAAAAGTTCTCAGTATATTCCATATTCCTTCTCAAACACAGACCTTATTGCTAGCTGAGAGCAGAAAAGCCAAGTGGAAGAGAAGGCAGTTCTTTATTTATTATTAAGCACAGTGTATTTAATATAATTGGATATTATTGGTGGAGTGATTGCTCTAAAACAGAGATACTTAAACTCTCCAGCCAGCCCTGAATCAAACAGATATTGTAGGTGGGCTGATTCACACCCATTCGCAACACTTTTTCCCCCTGTCAACCTCTATCATAGAGAGTAGAAAAGTTAAATATTCATTTCACCCACCTCCCTTGCATAATGATGACCAGCCAATGAAATGTAAGTGGAAATCTGCTGGGGCTTTCTGGAAAAGCTTTTATAGCTCTGATAAAAAGAGACAATCACAGTTAGCATCATCCTCTCCTCCTTTAATTTGACTTGAACACAGGAGGGCTGTCTGGAGCAGCAGCAGCCATCTTGAAAGCAGGAGGTAATGACTAGGAGGACAAAAAGTACACAAAGAGATTGGATCCAGCATGGTGTTATTAACTATTTAAAAGAACAACAGCAATGGTTCTAGATTTTTTGTTATGTTAGATGCTCTGAGGCTAATATTTGTTGAGAAATCTGCTCTTATACCTAAATATATTCTTAACAAATACACAGGAATAACAGAAAAACCAAAGCTATCTGATACCTCTCATTTCTCGATTAGAATTAGTGCTTTTGTTTTTAAGATAATAGCATGTCTTGTATAATGAGCCAGTATTTTTTTCCAGAATAACTTTGACATGTCTCTACACAGAAATTAATGTTCCTATCTCAACTGACACACATGTGGCAAGAACAATAAGGGCACTTCCATTCTAGTTAAGTTTAGATTCCATGGTCATTGTTATAATAATTTTTGAAAAGACCCCCTTCCCCTCTTTAACCCCTCACTCCCTCTTTCACAATCAATTGGTAAAACCTCAATAATAGTGAGAGATCCAACCATCCTCTTCTTGTAGGCACCCAAGCTGCTAAATATTGTAGATTGGTTTCATGTTAAGTCATAGTGGAAAACCTCAAATGGGTCCTGAACTTTGCCCCCAAATCTAGTTATGTTTCTTTAGGGCTTACATTTGTATTCTCTAAGAGAGCTTTTATGCCTTTATCTTCTCAAATGTCTTATTCAACTTCCCCCTCCTTCACTCTCAGAGTTTACTTAGCAACTAGAAACTATCAGGTAACTGCCCCCATCCCTGCCACCTCCACAGCTACCCATCTTCTCTGACTTCCCTCCTCTGGCAACTGAAGAAATGTCATTTCTTCAATTAAAGGCATAACCCTTTATGCACTACCCTTGCTACTCAAAGTGGTCTGTGGACTGGCAGCACCAGCATCACCATCACCTGGGAAAAATGCAAGAAATGCAGACTCTCAGGCCCCATCATACACCTACAGCCTCACAATCTGCCATTTAACAAGCTCCCCAGGTGTTTTCTGTGTTTATGTACACAAACACTTGAAAGCACTACTCTTGACTTATTCCTTCTTAAGAACATCATGCCTTTGGTCATCCTCGTTCTTCTAAGTCGTCATTTGCTTTTCCCCTAGTAATACAATAATTGATTCCTATCAGTAAACTAATAGTGTCTGATACTTTCTATCTAAGAAAACCAAACACTCATTTCCAATGACTACTCCCTTTTCCTAATTCCCTTTACCAAGTCCCTGAGATATTTTCTGAGTGTGCTGTCTCCACTTTCTCATCTCCCACTCACTTATAACCCAGCATGCTATCTGTCCCTTCTACTCCACCAAAACAACCTTGTCCAGGTCATTTCTCATCTTCATGTAGTTAACAGGGCTCAGAACATGCTACCCCAAATTGTGGTGCCTGGGCATACTGAATATTTGAAGCTGAAAGATATTGAGAAAATCACAGAAGCAGGAAGGTCACTCTCTGACCTTCTCTCTCCCTTCTTCCACAAAGTAGGTCTTAAGACCTTTGTTAACATTCTTATCCATGAAGGAAGACATGAGGACACAGAAGAATCTGAGGAAACAGGCCTTGCCAAGTTCTTCCAGTTTAGTACCATTAGATCATACCCCTTTGGTTCAATCATATGTCTGCGTGACTGTGTACTCTTCATCAAACTGAAGCATTAAAAATACGCAATTTCACTGTTTCGTTGAGTCTACATTTCTGAAGGATCCCATATTATGTAACACTTATCTTAAATAAATGTGTATGCTTTCCTCTTATTAATCTGTCTTTTATTACAGGGGTCTTAACCACGAACCTAGTGATGGGTGGAGAAAAGATATTACTTATTCTCCCCCACATAGCAAACCATCCCTTCTTTGAGATTTTTCTTCCAGATCTCTCACAGTTGAGTACTTCTTCTTCTGTATATATTCTTGCCTTGGCCTTTATAAGCCTGCATTTTCTAGGTTTTCTTCCTTCCTCCTTGGTGGCTCCTCTGCAGTCTCTTTGGCCAACTTCTCTTCCTTTACCTCTCCATTAATTATGAGGGTTCCCAAGGCTTGATCCTTGATCTGCTTGATCCTTGATCCTTCTCTACCTTGTCCCCAGGTGATCTCATCCAGCTACAGGACTTTAAATACCAATCTGATGATGTTTCTCAAATGTCTGTCTCCAAGCCCTGAATTCCTTACTGGAATATTAACCTGCTACATGACAACCTCTATGTGAATATCTTGTTAGTATCTGAAAGTTGTCATGTTTAAAACTGAACTCACTTTATTTCCCACTCCCTCCTCTCAAAAACTTTTCCTTCCCCAGTCTTCTCTATCTCAATAGAAGGCATGCCAGGCCCCCAGTGGCGTAAGGCAGAGACTTAGGAGTTATTCTTCATCCCTCTGTCCCTCACACCCTGCAACATATCAACCACTAAGAACTATTTTACCTTCAAGACACGTCTCAAATGGTCTACATCTCTTGGTCTCTACATTTTACCACCCGACCAAGTTACCACCATCTTTCACTTGAACCACTACAAAAGCCTCTCCTCTGTTCTCCCTTCTTTATAATTTTGCCTCCTCCAATCAACTCTCATATGGAATCCTAAATAGTCTTTTAAAATCATAACTCTGATTAAAAGTACCTGAACTGTGTAAATGGCAGTGTAAAAGAAGACTCCAATGTCTTCTAATTGTATTTAGAATAGAATTCAAGCATCTGCAAGTGTCTGCATATTTGACTCCTGCCTCTCGCTACTCTCCCCTTCTCCCTCTATACCTTGCTTCCCTTCACTTCCTTGAAAATGCTGAGTCTTTTCTATGTCCAGAAACATTCTGTTTTCTCTTCCCTGCTCCTTCTAATCCTTCAGGGACCAACTTAAATGTCTCCTCCTTAGGGAACCATGTCTTGACCACCATGTTTAAATACTGTCCCCCATTCCCTTTACTCTCTATCACTGTACACTGTTTACTTTCCAGCACTTCATATGTACATATTTGCTTACTTACCCACCCACTAGACTGTAAGCTTCATGAGTGCAGAGATGGCACCTTCTTTATTCCCAAATAAAATGTAAATCTGGTACCTCCCGCTGTGCCAGTGGATAATAAACAAGCTCACCCATCCAACTATCTCCATCCTTCCAACAACAACAACAACAACATATTGCTTATCATTGTGATTTAAACTGATAATGATTTAAATGTCACGGGACAGAGTGCCCTAGCAAAGACTTTTGAAACTGGGATGGATAGAAGTTAAAGAAAATGTCTTAATGATTGCAAAAAAAAGTGTTCTGTTTCTCAAAGGGTAGTAGATTGTTTTAATCTTGGGGAAGGCAGTTTTCTCAATTTGGGAGAACTATTAGAAGAGGACCTTTGCTCTCACATAAGTAAATCAGGTTCTTACCAAGTTTTGTTTGGGAAAACTTTGAAGTCCTCATTGAGCTAAATATACATACTTTAGTCAGGATGCTAAGTGCTCCAGGTAATCTGAACCATTAAGAATAATTAAAGCAGAGGGATGTCTTTGCAAACAATTTTCCTCACTCTTTTTTATGGGTTAGGGCACAAGTATTTTATCAGGTAGGTGGTATATTGTACTTTGCCTGCAATTGTCTCTTGTTCTTCAAAAGGCCTGGGTACATTCTTTTGTAAATAGAAGCTCACTGAGGCAATGAGGACTGTAGAAAGTCAATAGCAGAGGCTACCATTATCTAGTTATATTATGTAGAGAACTTATTACAAGTCAGGCACTAGGCTAAGAACCTGATAGTTAGTGTCTCAGTTCATCTTTTGACATGTCTGTGAGGTAAGTACTCTGTTTGCCCCATTTTATATTTGAATAAAACAAAACTCAGAGTGGCTGAGCTACTCTTTTTTCTTTTTTTTTAGACAGTGTCTCACTCTGGTGGCTGAGTTACTCTTAAAATGTGATTTATTAGGTTGGTACAAAAGTAACTGCAGTTTTTGAAATTAAAAGTAATGGCGTCAACCCAATAGCTACTTTTGCACCAATCAAATAGCTGCTTAGCAGCAGAGCCAGACTTTCAGCTGAATTCTAGTCACTGTTAAGGGGTGTGTTAACTAGGCAGCATTAAGTGCCATAAGTTAAGGAATGTCATAGGTTAAGGAGTGATCTTCATCTCTTGCTGGAAGAGAGACACTAACAAAAGCAACTCAACTGGACTGGACTGGTCGGGCACTGTCCTACACAAGATGTTGTTAAAGGCTGAATGCATTATTAACCAGTATGTGCTGAGCCATCAGCCTGCTGGGACCAGTGAGCAACACCTTGTTCTTGTGGATGGGGTGGGCGTCTTCCACAGGAGAAGCCATTTCCACTGTTCACTGTCTCAGAAATAGGCTGCTTCTAGAAAAGGAAGTAATGTTTGGGGAGGTGGGCCTTAGACTGGAGAAACTAGAAATTGGAGATACTTTGGTTTCATGTCCCCACCTTCTGGATATAACAAGAATCTAGCCTCTCTCATTCATTCATTACTTAATATCTGTGGAATTATATTTCTGGTTATAGGCTAGTGAGAACTTTTCTTGTTTAAGGTGACATTTTTTACTATAACTGGCATTTTGTGTTTGTATTTTTGTCAGAAACCCTTAAGATGCTGTGGCAGAAATCCAACTTAACTAGCTTATGCAGGAATGGGAATTTTTTTGGCCCATTGGCCTAGAAAAGCTAGAAGCCTGGGGCTCAAATATCTCAAGCACTCCATGCAGCTTCCCCACCCCTCTCTCCTGGCTTTGTTATTCTTTGTGCTGGCTTTTTTCTTAGGCAGATTCTCCCATGTTGTGGCAAAGATGGGTCCTTGCAAGTCTTAAGTTTTAGTCTCTTTACAGCTAGCAATTCCAGATGAAGTATAAGAAAGGGCCACTTTCCTAAAACCTCCAAGAAAAATCCCAGAGAGGCTTTAGGAGTGGTTTGATTTAGGTCACATACCCTCACCTGAACCAATCAGGGTTCAGGCTAACGAGATGGGGTATTTTGGCCAACCTGAGCTGGGTACCAGAGGAGGGGAGATAATGCAATTAGACAGCCCCTCTACGCAGGTAGGTCCTGAAGGAAAATCATGTTGAACTGCCAAAAAAGAAGTGTATGTCCCTTATTAAAAGAAGAAAAGGGATGACAAGAAGCAGAAACAAGGTTAAAATGTGTTGATTCCAAAATAACCGAGGAGCTGGCACACAATTGAAAATATACCATAAATAATAGAAGTGTCCATGGTTTCTGCAAGATACAGAAATAATTCCTAGAGCTGAGGCCCTGAGAGATACAACCTAAGACGATGTCATTCCCTTCAGTGCCAAGGGAGAAACAAAGGCTAGTCACAGACTAGAATTTAAAATGCAAGGGGGAAAAGGTGTCCATAAAAAAAAAATCACAGATTTTCAGTTTGTCCTCTATTATTTCTTCTAAATTAAATTTCTATCCAGAGGATCCATATTTTTAAATATGAATGAGTTCTGAGCTAACAGCGACTACTTTCCCTAAAGCAGAATACCAGAGGATCTACATATGATCAAAGTGACATGAGTGTTTGCGTGTAATATTCAGGGTGGCCAAAGACAGAAAGAAAGTACTGTTGGTGATGATCTTGAGATATCATCTGACTCCAAAAGTTTGTAATCAGGTCCAGCTGATATCTCAGCCAGTTGGTCTCTGGAACAGCAGCCTGACTGTGGAATCCTGTTAAAAATCAATCTTGGAGATCAAGGCAGATTTCATAGGCTATACATGATCTGGTATTAAGCATATAAGTGACTTTGCTTCAGAATCCCTTAAAAACAGGAAAGAACATAAAGATAGGGACAACATACAAACAGAGGGAGAATGAGAAAAGGATTTTAGAATATATTGCACCTGGCACCTTATTTTCACAAACAAAGAAACTTAAGAGAGGAATGTATGGAATTCTGTAAGGCACACAGTAGCCAAGGGCCTCCTTTAGCACATAGTGACCTCATCACAGAGGGGTGATCCCCATGTCTTTAGCCAAAGGACCAGCAGACAGTTGAGCCATCAGCCTGCTGATGAAAGATCCGTCTTATTTTTAGCACTTGTGGTTATCATCTTTCCTCCACAGTGCCCCAGTCCTTTGACCATAGCCATCCTCATAGTGCTGGGAATCTCTTTCAGCAGACAAGACATCTAACGATGTGAAAAGGAACAAAAAGTCCAGAATAGGTGAGAAACACACACAGGGCTATGTAAGTGACGCGGGGAAAAGGTAGAGTGCAGGTGTCTATCTCAGCCAGCCCCTCAAGGAGCTAATCGGTTCCATAGGAAATTGTCAAAACAACTGTTTCACTGAAACTTAAACACCAGCCATCATACCCGTTATATTGTTTTGTAGGCGCCACTCATTTTTCAACTTCAAGAGCTCGGAAACTGTATCACTTAGTTTTGAAAATATACTAATAAATACCATACCTTGCAGATTCATTTTAATCAGCCCTGTCTTGAAATAGCTGTTTACTAATTTTGCATAATATAATTAAATTCCCAAACACTATACTTAAGAACCATTAAAGATATGACTTATCCTGATGAGAGTCGAGAAATTCCAAATTTAGGATGTGTACAATCCCTGCTGTTGTGAAAATAAGATTCTCCACGAGGACAGCAAATTGGAATGAGAATTAAAGACTACAGTTTCCCTTTTATTAAATATTATGATACATGAAGAATACAAAAGGTAGGAGGCTCAGGCAGGCTGAGAATCTGATTCAACATTTTCTCCCCTGGTGAATCCAGTACACAAACACTGATTTTGGCATTAGGTTTCACAAGCTCCCAGCTGGAAAGGTTTACAGCAAAAGGAAGAGAGGTGTGGAGAAGTAAGTTAATAATTTCTTCTACCTTCCAGACTACTGATTCTTTCTCTGTCATTTAATGTCTCTCCCTCCACCCCTCCCTCCACCACCAAGCAGGACATCCTTAATTTCTCCCTCTTCCCTTTGCATATTTTTGACAGTCTCATGTCTGAACATTCTTATCCATCTCACATGGCCTTTGTCCTAGTGAGGCTCTCATCATGTTATAACTTATCTGGTTTATTGCAAAGGTCTCCCAATTAGTTTTCCACTCTCCAATATCTTTTTACTCCAGTCTTTGCTACTCATGCTGTCAAATTAACCTCTAAGAGGTTGTATATTTCACTTCCACTATTCAAATCCCACCAATATTCTTCAAACTCTTGTTGCTGGAATCCAAATTTGCTGGCCATATTTCTAATATATTTTGAAAGCTCCTCTACTCAAAATTGTTCTTCTTTCCCCCTAAAAAAGTAGGTTAATGACCTAGACAGTGCTTGGTACATAGAAGGGAGAATAATAAATATTAGTTTATTCTGCTTGGTATAAAATAAAGCTATTATAGTCCTAGACCTTTGCCTGTATCTTCCCTTTTATCTAATGTACTCCCTTCTCTTAGCTGCCTGTCAAAATCTGGTCTTTTTAAAAAAAGATAAAGTTTCACCTCTTCTGTGAAGCCTTTCCTATCTAGTCATTGTGATTATTCCCATTCTAACCTTCTGTAGCAGTTGCTTTTCCATAGCACCATTTGGTTCCAGTCCAAGGGAGAAGAAGTTGGGGTATTTGCCCACTAACTCCAATCTAGCACAGGTTGAGAGCTGCTTCGGGGAGCATGGGCTCCCTGGCATATTGGCCTGACCCATGCATTGACCAAGAATGATTTCAGCCCCCCACCACCCCACCCCACCCCTGGCAAGAACAAAAAACACTCAGCCAGAAGAAAGTCTTGCAGGTCTTGCAATAGAAAGCTGTGGAAATGTAAGGGCATATTGAGGTCCCAGGAGCATGGGAGGGGCGTCCTTCCATGATGTCTTATTGTAGGGAAGTACTAAGAGTTTCCCCGGGGAACCTCTTATATGTCAGATGGCCTCTTCCCAGCTCCCATGCTGTAGCAGACACCCTAACCCCTCAAAATGTCAGTGTCAGCAAGTGACTTTAAGAACTCCTTTCTCTGCCTGCTAGACCTCTGGCAGGAGGCACCAAAATGCCTAGGAAGCAGTGGATTAGTATGATGTTCTGTGGAATGTCAAGATAACCAAGATCCTTTGGATTATATTCTGTCAAAGAGCAGTAAACATCACCCTGGGGTGAGGCTCTGACTGAGTACGACTGTTCATCCCAGGTGACTGGAAGCTGCTTTTGATCCTAATTCCTGGTGCAACCTGAAGGGTATATATGCCAAATAAATAGTCACATACCAAGTTCCCAAGTGTGAGATGCTATGTAGATATGTTCTAGAACATATCAACACTGATATGACACTGCATTCAGCACAGCTGCTGTGATTGAGGCTACTACTTGATTAAGCTTACAGTGGTCAATCATAATTTGCCATGATCTACCTGGATTTTTTTCAAGGGCTAGGTTGGCACATTAAATGCAGTACCCTGGGTTTATACTCTGAAGCTTGTCTACAGAATCTTTGACATCTTAATGGAGATACTAGGAATGAATAAACACAGCTGCTTTCACCAGGGAAGAGTTGGAGACTTGGATCCACTTAGATGGTTTGATCTGGGGAAACTAAAAGAACCAACCATTGATTTACGTAAATGATAGATACCATTACTAGAAATATAAGGGTTGTGAAATGTTCTGGCTATACATCGTTAAATGGTTCAAAACTTACCTACGTGAGAAGCAGCAAAAACTGGCGAGGTAAGGGGCTGGAACCTCAAAGTATGAAGCAAGAGTGGTGGTGCAAGCCTAGGTCCTAAACTCATTCATGAGAAGTAGCTGTGGTCAGTTCTGGACCAGGCTGGATAAAACTTAACCTTGACTGTATATATTACACATGGTATTTAGACTGAATAACTCAGACTTAGAGAAATACAGTTGTTTTTTTTTTTTTTTTTTTAGACAGGGTCTCACTTTGTCGCCTAGGATGGAGTGCAGTAGCATGATGAGATCAGGGCTCACTGCAGCCTCAACTTCGCCAAGCTCAGGTGATTCTCCCGTTGCCTTAGCAACCCTCCCACCCCCACCCCAACCTCGTACCTGGGACTACAGGTGCAGGCCACCACGCCCAGCTAAGTTTTGTATTTTTTGCAGAGATGGGGTTTCAGCATGTTGTCTGGGCTCGAAGCAATCCACCCGCCTCAGCCTCCCAAAGTGCTGGGATTACAGACATGAGCACCTGGCCACACCTATGTATTCTGATATCATTTTTCAGTGGAGATAAAAAGTCAGGGTTGGGCCTTCCCTGGGGGACTGGTTGTTTCCACTCTCAGTCATCCTGGGAAGAGTCAGCTCCTAGGACAAGACAGAGATTGTAGACAGGTTTTCAAGGACATAATACTTTGAGAAGAAGATAAGCATATGAGCAGTGATTATTAAAACAAATAATTATAAGAAAAAAACAGAACTGAGTTATCATTATTTTCATCAGAAGTTTAGCTGCCTAAGCAGGTTTAGCCTGCAATCCTATGAACCAGTTCCACAGAAGGGAAACACACAACCCTTATCAAAGACCCACACAACTAAAAAGCAACTGTTTCATCCTGCAAAATAATTTCCAAGATGATAGAAACTATGCCAAGAAGAAATGGACTAAGATCAAGGATAGAGGAATGAGCAAAAGAGCTCAGAAAAAAAAGCAGTGGTTATATTGGCTTTACTCCTCTCAAAATGTTTGATGGAAAAGACCAACTCTCCATGGACAGTCAAGTATTTATACTGATGCTGCTGGAGGCTCTTTGAGGTTATAGTAGGTTATTACTGACCAGCTCAGGGAACTAACTTGCAGGGACAGGCCTATGTCTGCATCTTCTCTAGTCATAACCCCCTCCTACTGCTCATAGGATCCATTAGGGGCCTGTGCAAGGCAATGGATTTCTACACTCCCATCATCAGAATGCGGAGTTTTCTCTCCATGCCTCTTAGGGAATTTTGTTTTATGACATCATTTGATTTTCAGTGTCCCATCTCCATTGATTTCCAAGGCAAATAAACCTACTAAAGCTCATTAGAAAACCAACACTTCACGCAGTTACAAAAACCACCCCTATTTATAGGGCATATGCTCTTAGGTATTACTAGGTAATATTAGGTATTATTCTACCACCACTGGATAGATCTTAATTATTGCCAAGTTTACAATAATAAAACGTTAAGTACATTATTTCAGGCTTCTTATCACATAAAAAATGCTAAACATTACACCTGTGAACTGGTCACTTCTTTTCACAAATGTGTTCCTCTTTGCCTTTGTTCACAGTGCTGCCAAATGTTATCCTTTTGTCTGAAGCTAATGGATGTGCCTCCACTTCGTCTACTCTCAGCAGCTGTGACCATCATCTAAATGAATATAAGAATTGAATTAACGTGCAGTGAGTGCCCACAGTGTCCTGAACTATATTAAAAATGATGATTGATGGCTCTGTGGAATAAGTTCCTATTTTCTTTAAAGCTCAAAATCTGTGTGAGGAATAGATTAAAACTATCTCATACATAGTTTACCTCCCAGCTGTGAACTAATAAGATGGATAACTCATAAGAGTATTATATCTGATTCTGGGGTTTATTTCTTTACTAACTTGTAGAGGTGTGGATGAGATTTTGAGAATTCATAAAACTTTAATCAAAATAACAAAACCACTATATGAAGCTCTGTTTCTGCCAGGAAGATGTTCAGTTTCCTCTTGGTATTTCATTTCAGACTGAAGAAGCTATCCCTGTGTTAGTTGGGACCCACAGAAAATAGAAGGCATGCTCTGATGGGGTTTCTGAAGAGACTGTAATGAAAGAAATTTTTGCAGAGGCTTGGGTGTGATCAAGGAAACCTACAGGCAAAGCTGAGGATTCCAAGGATGGTACCAGGGCAAGTCATTACCACCCTGAGACCTAAGCCCTGACAGAGTGAGGGAAGATGCATGTCATTGGATCCTGGGAGAGCCGAAAGAGAGTAAGGGGGTTTGCTGGGGAGGCACGATCATCAGGGAGGGATGCAGCTACCGCTAGGGCTGCAGTTCCAAGCAAAGGGAGCAGGGAAGACATACTCTGACCTCTGTCTTCCTGCTCTTCCATCTCTTGCATTGTTTCCCATTGGCCAAGTCCAACCGGAAACGAGAGGGCAATGGAACCCAGATGATGGAGCCTGTGGAGGTCAGGATAGAGGAGGGTAGAGAATGGATTTGAGGAAGGGCAAAAGGTGAATGACCAACACAATCACCATCTAGACTAACACAAAATGCCACCCTCTATTGAACTGTCTTTTCTGGCTCTAAGATAGTATTTCCCCAAATATATTCCAGATGGGTGCTCTGTGTGCAGGGGGGCGTGTTTGGGGAGAGGAGAATTTCTTGTGCATACATTCATTTGGGAAACACTGGATTAACATATTAAACTCTGGATCAACACACCAAACAGAACTCTTTACTCAAGAAATTTTCAAAACTGTAGTATGTACACAATTTTTTTAACAAATAATTATTGAGAGTTATGTGATGAGCCAGGTTCTGGACCTGGCTAGTGATATGATGAATAGGACAGACACCCACACTTGCAGTACTCACAAACAAGTGGCGGGCAGACAATAAGCAGTAAACCAAAAACTAAATAATTACAAAGTGTCTGATGAAGCTCCCAATGGGAATGAAATGTGCAGCATATCTCATACATTATTTAGCTTCATAAATCTTTGTTTCTGGAAATCTTTTGGAGAGTGAAAGACTCTCTTTGAGAAAGGCCACTCTAAGTTTTTATCAACTATTGGTTACATATTTTGGTCTGGAATTTACATGATTAAATGCTCGATACTTAGTTTTTGATAACAGCTTTTCATCCTGCTGGCCCTAGACAGTCAAAGAGCAAACCTGATATTTATGGAAAATGGGGAATGGGAAGGTAACACAAAAAGGAGAAGCAAAAAAGGGAGAACACAAAAAAAGGAGAATCTTAGTTGTGAAAGCCATTTAAATCAACTTAGCATTTTTTTTGCAATGTAGACTTTTCCTTGGAGTCTATCCTGTAAGGCAAGGTGATATTATTACTAAAGTTACCATTAGGGTGGATGTGCATGAAGAAGGTAAACCTACCACCCGATTTTTTTTTGGTGGGGGGGGTTTACAGTGTTTATTTCTTTGTTTCATATTTTCTTTTTTTTAATTTTATTATTATTATACTCTAAGTTTTAGGGTACATGTGCACAATGTGCAGGTTTGTTACATATGTATACATGTGCCATGTTGGTGTGCTGCAGCCATTAACTTGTCATTTAGCATTAGGTATATCTCCTAAAGCTATCCCTCCCCACTTCCCCCACCCCACAACAGTCCCCAGAGCACGATGTTCCCCTTCCTGTGTCCATGTGTTCTCATTGTTCAATTCCCACCTATGAGTGAGAACATGCAGTGTTTGGTTTTTTGTCCTTGCAATAGTTTGCTGAGAATGATGGTTTCCAGCTTCATCCATGTCTCTACAAAGGACATGAAATCATCCTTTTTTATGGCTGCATAGTATTCCATGGTGTATATGTGCCACATTTTCTTAATCCAGTCTGTCATTGTTGGACATTTGGGTTGGTTCCAAGTCTTTGCTATTGTGAATAGTGCTGCAATAAACATACATGTGCATGTGTCTTTATAGCAGCATGATTTATAATCCTTTGTGTATACACCCAGTAATGGGATGGATGGGTCAAATGGTATTTCTAGTTCTAGATCCTTGAGGAATAGCCACACTGTCTTCCACAATGGTTGAACTAGTTTACAGTCTCACCAACAGTGTAAAAGTGTTCCTATTTCTCCACATCCTCTCCAGCACCTGTTGTTTCCTGACTTTTTAATGATCGCCATTCTAACTGGTGTGAGATGGTATCTCATTGTGGTTTGGATTTGCATTTCTCTGATGGCCAGTGATGGTGAGCATTTTCTCATGTGTTTTTTGGCTGCATAAATGTCTTCTTTTGAGAAATGTCTGTTCATATTCTTCGCCCACTTTTTGATGGGGTTGTTTGTTTTTTTCTTGTAAATTTGTTTGAGTTCATTGTAGATTCTGGATATTAGCCCTTTGTCAGACGAGTAGGTTGCAAAAATTTTCTCCCATTCTGTAGGTTGCCTGTTCACTCTGATGGTAGTTTCTTTTGCTGTGCAAAGTAAAGTCCACAGGGGTTCAACAAAGATGGAGAAAGCAACTGTCTGGGGTCATTTGTTCATAATGCACATTTACATGTCTTTTTGTTAGAAAGCTCTTCACAAAAAAATGTATGGCCTGTTTGTCATAGATGTGATTTGGTGCCCCACCTCCATTCTCTTTACTGGGCCTGTGCACGCCACCCCAGCTGTGAGTATCGCTTGCTATTGCCTCCTAAGAGCTCACAGCTGCCCCTTCTCCAGTCTCTTCTGCCCTCCCCTCTTCCAAGGGGAAAGTGCTCTTGAGTGTTTTATGCCAGAGGTGCCAGTGAATCAGGCCAAGGGTCCACTTTTCCTAGGCCATATCCTTGCTGACTCTTTCCCCTTCACTCCTTCCCTGGTAAATTATTCCCAAATAGCCTCTCCGTAGTTGTGGTCCCCTGTTTTCATCAGGCTCCACAGGAAACTGGAATCAGAAGAGATTTGGAAAAAGTCACACAGCAAGGTAATGCCAGGACATGAAAGACACCATCAGCCTCTTTATACTGTGCTCACTGGTCTTTCCATTTGCCCCATGGAGATCTAGCACATTTGCTCATTTAATAGCTTTCTATTTTGATTTCTCTTCAAAAAGAATATATGTGCAGAAAAGCTTATTGAACTAGCTCTTCTCCATATCTATGAGAAGCTATTATCCACATCTGTTATCCACATTTATGAGAAGCTGAGCTATTTAGATTATTTGTCACAATTCTTCTGTTGACCATTGATGCAAATTATAGACATAAATATCTATGAAGAAAATTTAAAATGTGAGCTTCCAAGACCAGCACTCCAGTAAACTCTTTAAAGTGATAGCAAAGGTTACAATCCTTAAAGAACCTTTGCCACATATTAAATGTTGTTAGAATATATAAGCATTTGCATTGCATATTATGATTTATAATACACTATCATGAATATTTTATTCATCCTCCCAGTAACCTTGTGACTGGAGTAAAGTATTGGGATCTCTATTTTATAAATGAAAAAACTGAAGTTCAGGAATATTAAGGGACTTGTCAATGTCTAATAGTGATTAAGTTGCATAGTGAAAATTTGACAGCTTTTTTATTAGCAAATTTTGAACCTTTCTACTTTATTGCCTATTTTATCTACTTTGTCGTATTTTATCATTTCTTAACTTGTTAGACCTTATAACATCAGTGTATCATTTAGTCGTCATGAAACTCTGTAGCACTATTTGTATTCTAGAACACAGGACCTTCTAGAATTTCTATGGTATAACAAAACAGACTGCATAATCAAACATTTATCCTATTTCTAGGAAGTTGATGTGTCAAGATTTTTATTTCTCTCCACTTGTTATAAATTTGACTTGTGGTTCTATAAAATTAATGTCCATTGATTTCTCAGAAATCAGTGCATTCCCTACACGGAGGGTTTGGTTTTCAGAAGAACCAAACGGTACATCATTATTGATTATGTATTGCCTTTCCTTAAGAGCTGTTGAGAATGTGAATACTTTTCTAAGTGGTTACTCAGACATAACACTTTATTTAATTCATTTCCAAAATTCAGCCTGTCTCCTAGCCAACTACAACATAGTTTACTTTAGAAATATCAATATATTGTTTCAGCAAAGAAAAAAAAAGTCAAGCAAGAAAATATTGCCCAAGTGTTAGCTTTTGTACACAGAGAAAATATATGGTTTCAACTAAGTGGGAGAAAATAGAAACCATTTCTTCTCTGTGGGTTAAAAGAATATACACTCCATGTACAGTATCTTCTTGAGTCTATGCAGTTAAAAGTGACAATGGGACTGTTGATGAGCCAGAGAGAGAACACAGAACTATTGAGGGGCTCATGCGTATCTTAAAAATTATCATTCCAAGTGCCTTATGCACTTACTTCTAACTCTAGGCATGCATGCAACAGCCAAGCAAATTTCATGTAATTGCCATACTCTAACAGTTCCAGAGGGAAATTACTGATCACAGTTATTTACTTAAATACAAATGGGAAACTAAAGTAACCTCAGGGTCACACTGAAATAGCCCTTGACTTGGGTTATAACTTCAAAATTAATTGGAAAGAGCAGGCAGTAAGGCCATTGGGGTGCACTGAGCAGCCTCTCCATAATTAAAGACCCACAGGCAGACAAATGACATTATCCACCGCTCTGGGAAGGGAGACAGTTTACCCATTCCAGCAGATCTCTAAACATCAGTAGTTGCGAGTTCTTGCCACACGGTTCTATGCCTTTAAGAAAGCAAGCTTCCTTCAGTGTTGTCGATGAACTGATGGTCATGGGCAGTCTTTCTAATCACTTTTAAATCTTCAGTAATCATGCTATCAAAAGATTTAAATATCATCCCATGCCTAGCATGGGGCTTCAGGCACCACACACAAAAAGTATCCATGGGCCGGGCACAGTGGCTCATGCCTGTAATCCCAGCACTTTGGAGGCCGAGGTGGGCGGATCACCTGAGGTCAGGAGTTCGAGACCAGTCTGGCCAACATGGTGAAACCCTGTCTCTACTGAAAAATACAAAAATTAGCTGGGCACGGTGGTGTGGCACCTGTAGTCCCAGCCATCGGGAGGCTGAGGTGGGAGCTTGAACCCAGGAGGCAGAGGTTGCAGTGAGCCGAGATCGTGCCACTGCACTCCAGCCTGGGCAACAGAGCAAGACTCTGTCTCAAAAAAAAAGAAAAAAAAAAGTATCCATGTACAATTAGCTCTAACAAGCATAGAGAGCTTAACTCTGCAATTTTCAAACAAACATAACTTGCGTGTTGATCAAGTCACTCAGAGCCAGAGATCTAACCTAGATTCTTGGAAGTACAATGCTCTTTGGAAGATTATTATAATAACAAGATGAAGTAAGAGTTAGAGTAGAACAAGAAACACATGACGAGCCCAGCCAACCAAACCCGAACACATTCAAGCAACAATTTAAACCTGTGGATGGGCTGAGATCATTGCAGACATCTGGCTATTTCATTATGGCTGGGTTTGGGTCACTGTGTGGGCAGTCTTTCCCCGGAGGTGGGTCTTCACACAAGGAAATAGCTCTGCTCTGGGGCCTCCCAAAACTTCTACTTTGGCCACTAGTCCTTAAAATTAAGATGCCAGAGAGCTCATTTTTAAGAAAAATGTGAACATAAGCAAGGCAAAGAACCCAAGTGATATAACAATAATGGAAAAAAGATTGTTTCTTTCAAGATAGCTGATAAAATTAGCAGAAATGAAGGTTTTTGTTTTTGTTTTTTGTTTGGAATGTAGTGTGTTTTTGTTTTTGTTTGTTGTTTTGGGTTGTGTTTTAGCTTTATCCACATAATTGCTTCTGATCTACCTGGTCTTGGTGGTGATACACTAGATGTCAGGGCCCTTCTTAGGGTCCTGAAAGATCTCGTTAGAACCCAAGGTTGGGCTGCGTGCGGTGGCTCACGCCTATAATCCCAGCACATTTGGGAGGCCGAGGCGGGCTGATTACCTGAGGTCAGGAGTTCAAGACCAGCCTGGCCAACATAGTGAAACCCCGTCTCTACTAAAAATATCAAAAATTAGCCAGGCGTGGTGGCACGTGCCTGTAATCACAGCTATTCTGGAGGCTGAGGTAGGAGAATCTCTTGAACCCGGGAGGCGGAGGTTGCAGTAAGCCAAGATCATGCCACTGCATTCCTGTCTGGATGATAGCAGGAGATTCCATCTCAAAAACAAACAAACAAACAACAACAACAACAAAAAAAAAAAAACCAGCGTTGTTACAGGAGCAGCTAACTTGATTCTGATCAAGGCCACCATTCCCTAAGCTTTCCTGGCTTAGAAGGAGTGATTAACAGCACTTTAGAGACCAATAGTAAGAACGAGAGATTTTATTTTCACTGCAATTTCCCACATGACATTTGAAGGCGCAATTGCTCTGAGAAGTTGAATAATGAGGAAACTGAGTCAAAGTTAAAGAATTACTTGCCAGTTGAAGAACTATTTCTCTATCAGAGAAACAGATAGAGCCACCTCTCCCAGGTGCAATAGAGCCTGCTTGTCAATAGAAGTGATTGGGATGAGCCAGCCACGAAGACGCCCACTGTTCTTCAGTGAAACTGACTCTCAGCAAGCACCTGAAAATAATCATGTTTTTGCATCTCTCTCTGATTCACCGGTGTCTTCCTTTGTCATGGATTTCTACTTCATTTCCACTTTATACTTTTTTTATGTGCAATATCAAACTGCTTTCAAGTACTTACAGAATTCTTGATGTGATATCTGGAAGATTTGAATTTTAAAATTTTCCCATTCCCAAGCCCTAATGTTCACGCTATCTTCTTCCCAGTATAACTGAATCAGATGAAAAGAGAAAACTAGGATTCAAATACCCATATTGTAGGCAGACTACAGAAACATCTGTCTATAACAAGAATTTCTGATATAACAAAATATTTTATATGCTTTCTCCCCAATTATTGCACATTGTGTTAATTTTTTTTAAATCAGAAATATTTAATATTTAAGTGAATTGTTAAACATGCAATGCTGGCATACTTGCTGCTGAGTACAAAAGCAATTTTAACACACCATTCAGTTGATTAAGTCATGTGTACACAAGATCACACATGACATACATTCCTTCAAAGTTGCCTTAAGCACAGGGCCTACAACTACCTTCCTAGACAGTAGGATCAGAAGCCTATAATTTCTTCCAAAATCTTCTGTGGCTCTTTAAATGAAAGCTTTAGACAGAATACAAATTAAGCTACATGCAGAAAGAGGCATTTAAAAAAAAGAAGTTGAGGAGCTACCCTAATATTAGTTTACCATTCTTGTTTTAAAGAAATCTATTGTGTGATTTTATAATTAATTAAAGAAAAGGAAAATTACTCATTTCAGAAAAGTAAAGTTAGATCATTTGTGTCTTCATGTTTTTAATGACTCATAGGCAGGGTTTTTTTTTAATGAGTGTTCTCTTTGTTTTTTGAAATAAATATTATCTGTTCTAAATGTAATGCTTTATTTTCAATTAATCCAAGACCTGAGAGCATTAATTATCTTAGCAGCAAGTGAAACTAAAACACTGATTACAGACATTTAAACTTTGACCCTAAGAAATAGTTACTCTTCAACGTGATTCATTTTATTTTTTTCTCCAGAGGTCTAATCTTTCAACCCTTCCCAGACAACCTATAATTCTGTTCCTTTGCCCTCTCTGAAATTACCCAAGTGCTGTCTGCCTTCAGGGGAGATTTACGGTCCTAATAGTAGAAGTGGTGAAGGTCAGCTGAAAGTTTCAGGTCTGTCTACCCAGGAACAAGGAATTCCTAAATAATTTCAGCAGTCCTAAAAATAATGATTGGTTTCAGCAACTCGATGACAGATAAACTACTACCCCATTTGGCAAAAGAGTTTGTTTCTCCACTGAGAAGAATTCATTTGCTGAGTTTCTCTGTATAATGACGATAACTGTGGGCAGAGTCAACGTGACTGACCGTGTAACATCATAAACAAGCCATTAAACCACAACCGCATCTCCTGGAGTTTGTGGGGTGATTTTCATTGCTCCCTTTTAAGTGCACACAGTGATGGTTCTCATGTCAGATATTTCACTTGCTTTCCTTAGGGCTGTGTAAGGCACTGTTTTATCATCCATCATGAAATCTCTTCAGACCTGGCTTCCCAACTTCTCTTAAAAGTTGTATGAGGTGGTTTCAACTAAACTCTTTTGAGGGTTTGGTCTTGAACTAGGTTAATGTCCATAAACTTTGTGAGCTAGAAGTTGACTCTGATTGTTAAAGTCAATTTTCTCTTACCTGGGAGGGGTTTACCTGTGGCTCCCCATGACTTCCTACCCTGCCTGTGGGTCAGTGCATGAAACGTTAAAAGATTAGATGGTGGGGGGATGAGAAGTGAAGGTACCAGAGGTTGGTGTAAGTGCCTGTAGCTCAACGTCCTTCACATGGCATGACGAAGGCAGATATTGAGAGCCACTCATTTGGTGTTCACTAAGCCCATTTATGATTAACTCCTCAGCACCTTCCATATTCTTCCCTTACTAATTGCATGCTTAAATTCTAAAAGCAAACCTTGTCACAGGCGTGGCACCACATTTGTGAACAACTCCACAAGTATTTGTCTAAACAGTGATTCTCTTAATCAATTTTTCAGTCTCATGTGGACAAAAAGTAGAAAAAGAAACATACCAATAGCATAAAGCAAGAATCTGGAAATATCAGAGAGTTGAGTTCCCAAGACTTGGTTTAAACATGTAGGTGGCATCATAAAAAAAAATTATTTAAATAATAGAGAACTACAGTTTTTTTTCTACTCCATACCATCTCCTTTCAGTTTTAATTTCTAGAATTAGGATTATTCAAAAAACACCAAATGAGACACCAAGCACATACTGTTGATGATCTCTGCTCTCAAAGAACATTCAATTGTACTATTTTCCATAAAATCTTCACAAATCATTATCTTCCATTCCTTGGCCCTCATCTGCCTTTCTCAGAGGGTAACATTGACTTCCTCCCTTGATGTATACAACATCAGGGATCACATCTCAGACTTAAAATGTCTTCCAGGAATTGTTCCTTCTTAAATTTCTTTACTGTCTTCACCATTCCTATTATGTTCTGCTTCTGTAGTTTCCTACAGACTTCCCGTAGTCATTTAGTGTTGCTCCTTTTTTTTTCCAAGCTGGATTCATGTACAAATTAAATGACACAAACTATACGTATATGCATGAGCTGTTTGGCTTATTTTTGTCCTGACTTTAAGGTAAAACTCATTCAGTTTTAACAACTAATTATTTTATATCATTGTGCTGGTATGTATACCCCCAGAATACATACAGAAGAAAAGTTATTGGTTTCCTAAATATTAGGCCATTACCTCACTAATTGCTATTCTTGTTTAGAGCTACTTATGCAGGCTTGAAGGTCATAATTTAGCCTGGATTCCTTAAATAAGTTTCTGCCTTATTTTTACTCCTTTATTTAAACTTGCTTTGTCCCTTTTTTCATCCTTCAGTTTGATTATTAATCACTTGTCCTTGTTTTCTACCAAACTTAGATTAAATTTCTTAATAAAAATCTCCCAAATAATAAATCAGCATTTCCTATGCAGCAAAAGACACAATTATTCACGTTGTGCTGAGGATTTGCCATCTATCCACAATAACATCTGCTTCAAAAACAAAGTCAGACATATGACTTTTGTAGATTTTTATATTTTTGTTTCTGGCTTTCTCAGATGCTCTGGATTTATTGCCCCATTACTATGATTTGGTCCCTTCTTCATCTTTGTATTGTTGACCCTTCCATCTATTCACTGATACAACTACTTTCCTTCAAAAATGGAAATAAATCTGCCCAAACTTGGGATGGAATTATAATTTATTCTTTCAGTTGACTTCCTTGATTAGTTTCCTACTTTTCTTTAAGAGTAACGGATATTTTATGTCATCTCTTTGTCCTTGCTTGTCTACTAGAGTCAACACGTTACAGTAATTTGACAAAAGTCAGGTAGCACTGGTTACACACACATTTTTCTGACACCCAATAAATTCTACACGAGTTCCCTAAGGTTTAATCAAGATAACTTTCTAGTTCTTGGCTGAGCAAATGAACCTTTCTTGATGTTTTCCAGTGAAGGGAACTAGCATTTACTGAGTGCCTTCCCTGCATCTGTCATTATACCACATTAACTCATTTAATTACTGCAAACAGACTCATGAAGTATGTACTATTATTCCTATTTTGCAAATAGGAAATCGACCACCTCACAGGTGAAGCGACTTTGCACAAATTACATAGCTGCTAAATAGCAGATGGAATTAGTGCCCACGCCAGCCTGACTTCAGAATAGCTGCTTTGTCTACAATATATTATTCTGTCTCTAAACCAATTCTACCTTTCAAGAAACAAAAGAACAAGACCTACCAACCAACCTTCTCCCCAAGCCAGAATAATAAATACAATTCACACTTTTTGGTAATGGCTCACCATATATTATTCCCAGGCGAGCTGGGGCAAGCAAGTCATTCTGTAAGTGTTCATGCTAGAAAAACTTCTTATAAAATCATTTGTTACCTTTAATTCCTAAAGTTTATTTAGATCTCTATTCATACTATTCTTATAACTTAGTATCACCAACACCTAGCTCCTTGAACCAAGCCAAAAACTATTAGCTTGTTCTTAAACATTGTTGACTCTGAGTATATATAGCATATTTGTATCTACAAAATAAGCATCAACCATTAGAAAATTTAAAAAAACTTTTAAAATTTATCTCTATGATTCATCTAACGTTAAATAATTGAATATATATTTGAAAGCATCTGGATTTTCGACTACATGTCTTCATTTTCTCCCAGCTGTTAAGCACATAAATTCTGCCTGTCGGCCGGGCGTGGTGGCTCATGCCTGTATTCCCAGCACTTTGGGAGGCCGAGGCGGGCGGATCACGAGGTCAGGAGATCGAGACCATCCTGGCTAACACGGTGAAACCCCATCTCTACTAAAAAAAAAAAAAAATATTAGCCGGGCGTGGTGGCAGGTGCCTGTAGTCCCAGCTACTCGGGAGGCTGAGGCAGGAGAATGGCGTGAACTCGGGAGGCGGAGCTTGCAGTGAGCCGAGATCGCGCCACTGCACTCCAGCCTGGGCAACAGAGCGAGACTCCGTCTCAAAAAAAAAAAAAAAAAAAAAAATTCTGCCTGTCATTATCTCTTATTTGTTCTTCCTTTATAGATTTTTTTTTTTTTTGGTTTTGCCTCCTTCAGTCCATTCCCACAAACTTGGTCCACGGATTTTTATTCTTTTATTGCTGTAAAACCTTCCTCTCTCTGCGTCTAATTCATCCGACATACCAAAATAACCACTGTAATCTTTTTAAAGCTTTGCTTTCATCCTTTTACCCCCTTGAACAAGCATTTCCAATTTCTACCTGTTTCATCAAATATGAAATTCCTCTAACTGCTGAGCTCTCAGAAATCATGCCCCGCTCCCATCACACTCCTTTCTCACTGTTCCTCAGCACAAAACCTTCACTCTGATTAGGTTGGTTCTCTCTTTGGGTTCCATATGAGTCTTTGCTATATAGCCTAAGTCCCAGATCTGAGCCAATGCCATGTGGCTGCCTTGATTTAAAGCCTTCTCCACATCCTACTCCTGTTGTATAACTGGATGTGCATATGATCGAATGAACTGCTGATAGACAGCCAGAGCCTAAAGATCAAAGACACCAGGTAGCCTGGAGAAGGTAGAGGAAGCTGTCCTGCCAGGAAACTGAGTGTCAGTAATGGACCTAAGAGGGATGAGGAGGAGAAGGAAGGGGAAAGAAGGGAGGAAACTTATGGAAAAGGGGTTAAACCAGTGTTACCCTTACTGGAACAAGGGTCTTGAAGAAGTAAAGCATGAGTAATTTCTGGACTTTAGGAACTAACGGGAGATCATCAGGTGTCAATGAACTAACTGGAAAAGTTTCTATTCTCCTTGTGTAGAAGCAGAGAGTTTAGATTCTCAAGAGAGACTTACCCGTACCTGTGGGCAAGGTGACTCAAGGCTGCAAAGATCAGAAAATGATAATATCAGGGTACCAAGTAGAGGGTTACAGCATTGAAATTCCCAAGGGCGATTCAGCAGCTTTAAAGAGGACCACAACACGAGACTAATTCCCGCTTTCACAGAGGGCACGTTTGCTCAGTCTCACAATGCCCAATAGCTTCCCTGTAACACCAGGACTGTTTCTAGGCTTATGTGAAACATGTTTTTGCTTATGTAAGTGTGTGATTGCAGGGGGATGGTCTTTAATACAAATCTTAAAGCTGCAGAGCTAGGCCAAAACCAGGTCTTTGAAATTTTTTTCCCTCTTGAAACTCGTGAATCTTTTTATTCAACTGTATATGAATCTGGAGATCTGTGGGTAGAAATTAATCTTTCTAGAGCTTCAGAGTGCCAAGGGGAATTTCGTTTTGGAGTATTTGGATGGTAACAAAATAATCCTAAAGTTGCTATTCGTGTTATTACACAACATCTTCTCTGGTAGGGGAAAGTGGGGTCCAGAAGTTTGTCAACAAATACAAAATCTCTAACAATAGCCTTAACCAGTCTAGGACTGGCTGTATTCTAACTTAGGACAGGAGTTTTAAAGAGGCTCTTAATTATGCAGTCAGCATTGGGAATAAAGCAAAAGGTTTATTTTCCAGTGTGATGCTCTTGAGGAAATGTATAGGCATAGCTGGTGAGTTCTGTCAAATTACTTAAACTCTTTAAGTCCCAGATTCCTCAACAATAAAATGCATAGAATTATAGTACTATGGTCTAATAATATTGTTGTGGGAATTGAATGAGATCATACATGTAAAAACCTGAGCACATCTTCTGGGACATGGCAAGTGTTTTATTATGAGAAGCTATCTAAATTTATTGAATGCATACAATAGCCCCTTTTTTTGCTCATTGTTTGGAAATACAATGTATTTCATAAGTACCTAAGCCTAATTCTGTATTAAAACTTTAAGATGTCAATTTTTTTAGTTGAAAGTATTTCTAAAATGTGTTTCATACATGTGTATTCTTCTTAATTACATAAGTAAGGTTTCTTCTAGGAAAGGGGCAGAGGGGGCTTTGTGGAAGGATATTGTACTTTCTGGATTTTCAGTTGTTGCATGTTTTTAAAAAATTAGACCCCAAAGTGATGCTGACAAGGGCTAAGAATTTCAAGACTAATAACAAATTTGTTTCCATCTTAGTCTTTATTTTCATCCTCCCAAAACACCTCTCAAGCCCTGAAGGGAAGGAATTAGCCTGTTTATTTAACAAATATCTATGGGTGCCTACTTTGTGCCAGGAATTGTTCTAGATGCTGAGTAAATAGCAGGACATAAAACAGGAAAAACATCCCTGTTCTCATAAAGCTTATATTGTAGTAGAGGCTTACATTCAGATAAACAAACAAACAAAATGCTTTATGTAAGATAGTAAAAGGTAACAAGTACTGGGTGGCTTGGTGGGGGTATACTTTTCAGTAAGTAGTCAGGCAAACCCTCGCTGGTAAAGTGACGTTTGATTAATGTCATACATTTGTTTAATATAGTTGTTGCCTGGGTATCCAATTTTAGGCCTGATATAAGTTGTTGAATTCCAGGTGTACCCTGTCACCCTTGCCCTGGTTAAAACTTCCCCTCCCCATGTGGTTGTTTTTGGACAGCCCACTTATTCATCATTTCACTGACCCAAAACTCAACACTACCCAAAGCTGCTGATCGTGATAAAAACCTAATGGCCAACGCCAGAGTCATGTCAATAAGTTCCCGCCTTGCGCATGTTTTCCTTAAACTAACCAATCCACAACACATGAAGGAAAGCCTAAGGAATAATACCATGGACCTTGAGAAAGGCATAGTTCCACAGGTTCTCTCTCTCTCTCACCCCAGCTGCACTCCCTACCACCGTTGGATTCCTCACATCAGCATCCCTAACCTCTCTGAGTGATGTGCATAATAAATTTATTCTGTTTCATGCCTTTTGTTTCACCACCTCATTGCATTTCACCCGACACACACACACGGGAACCTAGTCCCCTCCCCAACAGTCTGTCCCGGAGAGTGACTATCTGGGCTTATGGCGACTCTCAAGAGAGAGATCTCAAGACCCAATTAGAAAAGATCACAGCAATCAAAGACATGAAGGAAATGCAGGAGAAGGAATATAGAATAATGGAGAAAGCCCATTCCAGGCAGAGGAAACAGCACCATAAAGGCCCTGAGGTAGGTAGAACCTCACCTGCCATCAAGGAACAGCAGCAGGGAAGGGGATTGTGATGAATAAGATGGAAGGGAGTGGTAGGAAATGAGGTCAGAAAAGGTTTGTAGGATATGAAGGTTATTTTCAGGACCTTGACCTTTCCTCTGAACCAAGGGAAAGTCCCTCCAGTGTTTTGAGCGGAAGAATAATTTGACTTAAGTTTTCAAAAGGTCTTGAAACTCCAGCTGCTGAAAATAGACTCTGGGGTAAAGGGTGGGGACAGAGATCAGTATAGTCATCTGGGTGGGAGATGGTGTGGCCAGGGAAGTGATTACATTCTCGATGTATTTTGAAAGTAGACTTGCTGATGGAATTGGTGTAGGATGCAAGAAAGAGTATCCATAATGACGCCAAGATTTTTAGCTTGAATGATTGGAAGAACGGAAATATGATAAATTGAGATGGAGAAGACCACATGTAGAAGAAATTTTAAGGGGAGGAAGGAGCACAGTCTGGGAATATGTTTAACTTGAGATATCTATTAGACACAACGGACAATGTCAAGTAGGGCATTTGGATATGAGTCTGGAGTTTTGCAGAAAAATCCAGAAACAACCCCTCACATTAATAACCATTTTTAACAAATAATTAAAATAATTAAATAGGGAAATGATATTTTCAATAGTTTCTGCTGGAACCACTTCCAGCAGAAGTTTACGTAGAAAAAAGTAAACTTGGGTTCCTACCTAACACCACACATATACATTAATTTGAAATGGATTATACATCTAATTGTAGAAGACTAAAATTAAAAACTTTTAGAAGAAACATGGGAGAATACCTGCACCACCTTGAAGTAGGCAGATTTATTAGACTGGACACCAAAAGAAACACCAAGTGTAGTGTGGAAAATTCACAACTCAAATTTCGTCAGAATTTTAATGTTCTTCTAAAAAATTAAGTCTCAGAATGACAAAATATTTTCAACATATCTGATAAACAGCATGCCTCCAAAATATATAGAGATCTCTTAAAAATCAATAATAAAATGACAACCACATTTTTGTACAGAACTCTTGAATAGTCACTTCATTTAAAAAGATATAAAAATAATCAATAAGCACCAAAAAATGTGCTCAGCATCATTCGTCATCAAGAAAGTGCAATTATAACACCCATGAGTTACTACTTCAAACCCATTAGAATAGCTATAATCAAACTTTTTTAAAACAGTTAATTTTTAACATTTATGGGTACATGGTGTATATAAGATATCTTGATATAGGCATACAATGTGTAAATAATCACATCAAAGTAAATGGGGCATCCATCACCTTAAGCATTCATCGTTTGTGTTACAAACATTCCAATTGTACTCCCAGTTATTCTAAAATGTACAACAAATTTTTGCTGACTGTAGTCACCCTGTTGTGCTATCAGATACTAGATCTTGTTTACTGTATCTGACTATACTATATTTTTGTGCCCATTAGCCATCCTCATCTCCCATTCCCAACTACTCTTCCTAGACTCTGGTAACCATCATTTTATTCTTTCTCCATGAGTTCAATTGTTCTAAGTTTGAACTCCCACAAATGAGTTAGAACATGCCAACTTTGTCTTTCTGTGCCTGGCTTATCTCACTTAACATAATCTCCTCCAGTTCCACCTATGTTGTTGCAAATGACCAGGTCTGATTCTTTTTATGGCTGAATAATACTCCATTGTGTATATGTACCACATTTTCTTTATCCATTTGTCTGTTGATGGATGCTTAGGTTGATTCCAAATCTTGGCTATTCCTAATAGTGCTGCAATAAATGTGAGAGTGCAGATATCACTTCGATATACGGATTTCTTTTCTTTCGGATATATCCAGTGGGCATAAATAATAAATGTGGGAGTGCAGATATCACTTTGATACACTGATTTCTTTTCTTCTGGATATATCCAGTGGGGTTGCTGGATCATATGGTAGTTCAATTTTTAGTGTTTTGAAGAACCTCCATCCTGTTCTCCATAGTAGTTTTACTAATTGTCATTCCCACGAACAGTGTATGAGGGTTCTATTTTCTCCACATCCTTGCCAGTATTTGTTATTGCCTATCTTTTGGATAAAAATCATTTTTACTGGGGTGAGATGAAATTCATTGTAGTTTTGATTTACATTTCTCTGATGGGCAATAATGTTCAGCATCTTTTCATATAGCTTTTCACCATTTGTGTGTCTTCTTTTGAGAAATATCTATTCAGATCTTTTGCCCATTTTTAAATTGGATTATTAGATTTTTTCCTATTGAGTTGTTTGAGGTCCTTATATGTTCTGGTTATTAATTCAGTGTCAGACGGATAGTTAGCAAATATTTTCTCCCATTCTGTGAGTTGTCTCTTCACTTTGATGATTGTTTCCTTTGCTGTGCAGAAGCTTGTTAACTTGTAATCCTATCTGTTCATTTTTGCATCGGTTGCCTGTGCTTTTGGGGTATTACTCAAAAATATTTGCTAAAACCAATATCTTGGAGAGCTTCCCTGATGTTTTCTTTTAGTAGTTTCATAGTTTCAGGTCTTAGATTTAAGTCTTTAACCCATTTTGATTTAATTTTTATATATGATAGAGATTTAGCTTTATTTTTCTGCATATGGATAACCAGTTTTCTCAGCACTATTTATTGAAGAGACTGTCATTTCTCCAATGTATGTTCTTGGCAACTTTGTTGAAAATTAGTTTACTGTAAGTATATGATTTCTGGGTTTCTACTTCTTTTCCATTGGTGTATGTGTCTACTTTTATGTCATTACCATGCTGTTTTGGTTACTGTAGCTCTGTAATATAATTTGAAGTCAGATGATGTAATTCCTCCAGTTTTGTTCTTTTTGCTTGGGATGGCTTTGGCTATTTTGGGTCTCTTGTAATTCCATATAAATTTCAAGATTATTTTTTCTATTTTTGTGAAGAATATCATTGGTATTTTGATAGTGATTGCATTGAATCTGTAGGCTGCTTTGAGTAATATGGACATTTTAACAACATTGATTCTTCTAATTCCTGAACATGGGATATCTTTCCATTTTTCTGTCTTCCTCAATTTATTATATTAATGTTTTACAGTTTTCATTGTAGAAATCTTTCACTTATTTGGTTACATTTATTCCTAGGTATTTTATTTTATTTGTAGCTATCATAAGTGGAATTTCTTTCTTTCTTTTCTTTCTTTCTTTCTGTGATGGAGTCTCACTCTGTTGCCCAGGCTGGAGTGCAGTGGCACAATCTTGGCTCACTGAAGCCTCTGCCTCCCAGGTTCAGGTGATTCTCCTGCCTCAGCCTCCTGAGTAGCTGAGACCACAGGCACACGCTATCACACCCAGCTAATTTTGTATTTTTAGTAGAGATGGGGTTTCACCATGTTGGCCAGGCTAGTCTTGAACTCCTGACCTCAAGTGATCTGCCCACCTCGGCCTCCCAAAGTGCTGGGATTATAGGCATGAGCCATCGCACCTGACCATCTTGATTCCTTTTTCAGATTGTTCACTTCTTGCAGATAGAAATGCTGCTGATTTTTGTATGTTGATTTTTTTACCTGCAACTTCACTGAATTTGTTTATCTGTTCTAATAATTTTTCAGTGACGTATTAAGTTTTTTTCAAATATAAGATTATATCACCTGCAAACAAAAATAATTTGACTTCTTCCTTTCTAACTGGGTGCCCTTTATATCTTTCTCTTGTCTGATTGCTGTAGCTAAGAATTCTAGTACTACGTTGAATAATAGTGGTGAAAGTGGGCATCCTTGTCTTGTTCCAGATCTTAGATAAAAGGCTTTCAGTTTTTCCCTATTCAGTATGATACTAGCTGTGGGTCAGTTGTATATGGCTTTTATTGTGTTGAGGTGTGTTCTTTTTATACCCAGTTTGTTAAGGAATTTTATCATACAAGGATGTTGAATTTTATAAAATGCTTTTTCAGCATCAATTGAAATAAACATATGGTTTTTGTGCTTCATAGTATAGCTAAAATTAAATGTTGGCTGTTAATACCAAATGTTAGGAAAGATGCCAGACTCTAGAAATAACCCAAATGTGCATGAATATGTTCATGGATAAAACAAGTGTGAAATATTCATACAATGAAATTATACTCACCAATACAAAGGAACAAATTATTGACTCATGTAACAATATGGATGCATATTAAAAACATTTTGCTGACTGAAAGAAGTCAGGCCAAAAAAAGTACATACTATAATAAGATTCCATTCGTATGAATTATAAAAACAGAGAAAACTAACTTCTAATGTTAGAAAATCAGGAGCGTGATTATTACCTCTTTAGTTAGATAGGGTTGACAGGAAATAACATGAGAGAATGCTTTGAGGTTACAGAAACGTTCTCTATCTTGGTTTGGGTGTTACTTATATGGGTATACACACTTATTAAAACTCATCAAGCTGTTAAAATTCTATTATGTCTTATTGAATAAAAAGTAATTTGATTTTAAAATAAATCTACTCTGTACAGCTGGTCAAAGTCGTCCTCCCTGTCTTCCACATAAGCAGTTTTCCTCCCTATTCTCCTGTGCTATCACAGGATTCTCCTCAAAGCAATCGAGAGAACCCACAAGCAGAGTGTGAGCCTCCTAAGCCCTCTTAGGTACTGTTACTTCTTCTTAGATCTCGAGATGTTGGGGGTGAGAGGGAAGAATTTATAGAAAAGGCAGAATTAGTGTTTATAGATACGTCAGAGCTATTTCTTCCAAGATTTTACCTTTCTCAGTTGTACCTAAGGTATAACCTGATTTAGGTAGTTATGCATGATGAAGAACAATATTACAAAATTTGCATGTTCCACAAGCAGTTTTCCAAAGAGAAGAATGCACACTTCCTAAGTAATTGGCTCAGTTATTTTGCGAGCTGATTTAAATTTGTATTCCTTTTTAGTTCTTCTATATTTTGAACAGATCACAAGTAAGGGCTGAAATTTACTACATAACATCCAGCTGGTAGAACAGGGTCTGGGTTTTCTCCATTCTTCACAATAACCCAGTTCAGTCTGAGAGACAGGCTCTGATTCTAAGAATATGTGAATGCTTATTTTTTATAGACTGAATTCTTTATGAATATCAATAACTTAGTGAAAGTCTCAGAGGTTTTGGAGCTCTTTAAAGAAGTTTGACTTTTATTAAGTAATCCCAAATAATTTTTATTGAATTTCCAAGACTATGTTGTTATGTTTTCTGTCTCTCACCTTGTAGTCAAGCTGATCACAATTATTTCTATTTTTCCAGCTTTATCAAGATATAATTGGTAGATAAAAATTGTATATATTTAGAATGTACAACATGATGTTTTAGTAGATATATACATTTTGACATGATTACCACAAACAAGCTAATTAACATATCATCACCTCACATAGTTACCTTTTGTGTGTGTGTAGAGAACATTGAAGATCTACCCTCTTAGCAAATTTCAAGCATATAGTACAGTGTTGTTAACTATAATTACCATGCCATACATTGGATCTCTACAACTTCATCATCTTGCATAACTGAAATTTTGGCCCCCTTTGACCAATATCTCCCTGTTCCTTTCACCCCCAGAACCTGGTAACTCTACTATTACTCTCTTGATTCTAAGAGTTTGACATTTTTAAATTCCACACATAAGTGAGATCTTGAGATATTTGTCTTTCTGTGTCAGGCTTATTTCACTTGGCATAACGTCTTCCATGTACATCTATGTTGTCACAAATGGCAGGATTTCCTTGTTTTTTTCTAAGACTGAATAATATTCCACGAAATCATTTCTTGATATATTCATGCTTCCAAGACCCTTGGGGTTACTTCCTATAATTTGCTAAGGGCCAGGAAACTAGAAACCCAGTCAAGCATTGTGTAAATTAAGTGCATATTCAACAATAATTGAAACTAGTATAATATTGATGAAGAAATGTATTCATTAATACAGCATAGAAATTGAAGAAGAAAATGCATATATAAGAATTTTAAATATTTTAAATAAGTGCAAAGGGGGTGGATTATTTACTACATAGGTAGGGTTAAAAGATTGATAATTTAGGAAAAATAAAGACGTCTCCCTATTTATACCAAAATGAATTCCAAGTTGATTAAAGTTTTAAATGTACCAAAAAAGACACCATAAAAATAATAGAACAATATAGGTGACTATTAATATATTATTGGGATGGAGGTGTACTTTCTATCATACTCAAGCAGAAATAAAGAAAAAGATAATTGATTTATAACATAAAAATGTAACAATTTTATCTGTTTAGGATGAATAAAATTATAAGGCAATAAACAGAAAAATAGCTATACGTTTATGGCAGCCTAAGGATTAACGAGTTTAGTATGCTTAAAAATTCGATATAAAAATCATCCAAATGAAAAATGGACAAAGAACACGCAAAGGCAATGCATGAAGGAAATATGTCTGCCAAGAGTGGGTATTAGAGAGACTCTCCTAAATAAAGAGGCACGTGGACATGGGATTTATGACTACTATCTAGGTAATGTTATAGTCTTCCTAGCCCCCTTCTTGGCCCCTGAATGGTTAAATTTGCCAGTTAAAAGTACAGAAGTAGAGAAAGATTTTTATTGATGAAGCAGTATTTTCACTGGGTTTCCATTAACCCAAGACTACACTTATAAGACAAGTAGCTTAAGCTAAGAATGCAGACCATGAACATGGAGTAGATAAAAGTTCCTTGGTGTTTACAGCCTGGAATCCATGGCTTTGTCCTCATTTATGCAATTGGCCTAAGTTCCTTGAAATAAACAGTGCTATGGACTGAATGTATTTATATACCATTTTTATGTTGAAATCATAACCCCCTATGTTATGGTATTAGGAGTAAGGGCCTTGGGAGGTAATTAAGTCATGAGGATGGAGCCTTCATGATGGAATTTGCATCCTTTTAAAAGGGATGCCAGAGATCTCTCTGGTCTTCTTTCCACTCTGTAAGGACACAAGAAGATGGCGATTTGCAATCCAAAAAGCAAGCCCTCACCAGAACCTGGCCATGCTGGCGCCCTGGTTTCAGACTCCCAGCCTCCAGAATGATGAGAAATAAATATCTGCAGTTTAAGTCACCCAGTCTATGATAATTTGTTATAGCAGCCCAAACTCACTAAGACAAACAGCTATAGACACCAAACATTGTCTTCCATGTCGTTGCTGCACAGATAAGGATGTGGAGGCAGTTCAGTGGAGTGGTCAAACAGCAGGGCCTACACTATTCTAGAGTCATGGCTACCTCATTTTGAATCCAGGCTCCCAATTTGCAATCTGAGCTCCTATTCTCCCTGAGCCTTACCTTAACTGTAATATAGGGATACTATTATTAACTACCTTCTAAATTTCCTATGAACATTTAATGAGATCATGTTTATAAAGCACTTAGCGTATTAACTGATAACATAGGAACTACTCAACTATTGGCTATTATCCTTGTTACGGGCAAAGAACCTTAATTCTCTACCTTCTGAATAAAAAACATGCTAAGATATCACAGGATGATTTAGGTTGCCTTTATGTGGAGATTTATGTGGCATCTTGGGAAAAGTGTAGTACCTGGGATCAGGAGATCTTATCCTAGTCTCGACTCTGCCTCTAACCACATGACCATTTTGGGCCTCAGTGTCCCCATCTGTTAAAGTTGTTGAACTATTTATTGCTATATACCCTTTTCAGTCCAATGTTACGCCCTAGAGAAATGCAAAAGAACAGAAAAATCAGGGTCTTTAAATATGGTTGTATCTACAGCATGTAATAATTAGGTCTTTGATCTATAAGTTGAAGTGTTTAAAGCCTAAAAGAAAGTATGTATTAGTTTGCCAAATAGCAGGAATTATATCAATCTGTTGTAACACTGACTATGTCACATCAGTCAGAAGCTCCAATTAGCAGTTAAACATCTTTGATTAATGTTTCAAAATTAATAAAAAGAGTTCATTTATTGTGTTATGAGATATGGAGAGCTCTTTAGTGGTGAAATGTTTGTGAACCATTAGCCTGTGTGCTTAGCATTGATGAAGATATCCCAGCCACTAACAGTTTTATAAGAAAGCAGAAGTTGATGCTAATTTACAATGCAGAGCACATAGCAATAGTAATAATGAAAAATACCCAATAGTGTTGACCATTTATAGTGAGGCCACAACTGTCTAAATATCTTGTGTAGATTACCTCCTTTAATCCTCGCAACAACCTCCTTAGTATTTCCATTTCACAAATAAGAAAACTGAAGCTTGAAATTCAGCTGGAATGTCCATAACACAAAGAAATGATGAATGCTTGTGTGATGAATACCTCATTTACCCTGATGTGATTATTACACATCGTATGCCTGTATCAAAATATCTACCTACTCCCAAAATATATATATACCTACTATGTACCCATAAAAAATACTTTTTAAGAAACCTGAAACTTAAGAGTGGGACCTATTGTCATCTAAACAGATGAATCTCCAAAACTACAGTGTTTCAAGACTCAAGAAATCTACAAAAAACAGTTTAAAAACATGTACATTAAATGTACCTTTTTTTCAGGCAAAATATTGATAATATGCATATGAAATAGCTCTTACTGTTGAAGTCCCAATTTTTAGGGGGACCAGGGATGGTAAAATACATAAATAACATATTGTTGTCATTTAGAAAAATTAACTGGATTACCCCCTTAAGAATTATTACTGGGACATTTTTAGTCTACTCTTGATGTTTTCTTGCTATTCAGCACCCTGTACATTTGTAAATTCACAAAATTAGTGTGAAAGTGCAAAAATAAAAACATGAACTTTAGTATTAACCCAAACAAAATGTAATTAAGGAAGTAAATCTACACCAGAAAAAAGAAAGCCGTATAATGTTTTGCAACGTCCAAGAAAAATGGCTTTTGGATTATCTGCTATTAGGAAGTATTTTGCTCATGTTCCCTTCTCTTTACTCATTTATATATTCATTCCATAATTGTAGGGAATCTGCCAAATATGCAGGAATATGACCCTGAATTAAGGCAGATCATGGAAAACTGACGATGCTGAATTGATGTTGAACAACTGTTATCATGATTAACCCGAAGTTTCTTCTAGAAGTGTCCTTTTATCTCCAAATACAGCTGCAAAAAGTGAAAAAGAGAAAAGTCAACATTGGCCACAATTAGGGCTTTATCTTTTGGTCAGAGGGTTGAAGGTGGATTTACAGATAAATCTTTCACAACTGATTTCAATTATACCTCTGAGTCTCACCCACCATTGGTGTCATCCTAATATCCCCCAAAACACAGAGGTCACTTTGAAAGTGCTTTAAACTCTCTCTCAATTACCAGGCTTACTTGCTGTTTCTTTGAAAATGACTTTCATGTGAAAATGCTCCAGCAACATAAAAGTTAATCACCCTGTATCATTACTCGCATCTAGCAGCAGGGTAAAAAGGAAATTAAATTCTTCTTCATTCTCTCCTACAAAATGTATTAGAACCTCACTCAATCTTCTCCATATTATGTGTAAAAATGGAGCACAATCCAATGCTTCTCTTTTTTACTTTTCTTTTTTTTTTTCAGAAAGCAAAAGTAAAACACAGAGAATGTTCTCAAATTTTCATACTTGGAGAGGAATTCCAGCAAGAGTTGCATTTCTGCTAGAGGTGTATTGTGAAGGTGTGGAAATACAAGTTAATGAAAGGTTAGTTCTCTAGCAAACAAGATGTGACTTATTTACGTCTTCAACATAAACCATGGAAAGCTACATAATAAGTCTGTTATCCTGGATATTTTATTGTCAGTGTTCAGCAAATCCTTTATGTTCATTTTTAAATAATGAGGCCAAATCCCCAAGCTTCCTTCTATTTCAAACTTTTTCGTAGACTGGCCTGAGTATGAAATAGAAACCTTGTGCTTTACTAACTCCGGGGTGCTCAGCTTGAGCCCTATGAATAAAATATGACTCTGATCATTAAAATGTAATAAAAGCTGGTACTTTGAAGCCTTAACCTAAACAAGCTTGCTCTCTGATCTTGGGGGCAAACTTCAGCTGTTCTCTCAGCAGGGCCTCCTCTGCAGAAAGCCCAGGCCTCCTAGAAACCACTGCAACCTGCTAATCTGTGACCTGCACAGCTAAACACAGTCAGAGGCATTTCCACAGTGAGGTCTCCCAGTGTCTCTCAGTGTCTCACCGTTTTCGGGCTACCACAGCCTTCTCAATTTCCTGCCAGAAAGAACAGTGCATGAGGCAGGTGTCAGGCTCAGTTTGTAGAGAGGCTAAGTTTGTAGTTTAGTGTCCCTCATTTTTATCTTCCCAAAAATCCCCTTCCAGAAGAACAGAACAAGGTGAGTTTTCAAACAGCTCATTCTCTAAGGGAAGGCTGGGCAAATGTTCATGAAGATTGGCCAATAGGATTAAGAGAGAAGGCCGTCAAGTAAATAACAAAGAAATGGTGCAATGTGATCCAACTGTGCTCTTGGAATTTCCTTTTTATTGGTGCTAATATAACCCACTCAATAGTGGGTGGGAAATATCCCCAAACTACTGCTGTTGCTGCTGCTGCCAGGATTCACCAGAAAGGATGTTGAACGCCCAGAGAAAGCTGTCCTAAGGCTTGTGCTCCCATGCTGCAGGGAAAAGGCCAATTGTAGCTCACATCCCAGAAGAAAGTCACTTCTGTTCAAAAGAACATAGTTCAAGATTTCTCTCCCATTATCACAGCATGGACAGAAAACAGAACTACTTGACTAGGGAAAAAATATTTCATTGAAGAAAAAGGAAGCAGTAAGGAAATAAATAACCCAGGTGCTTCTCAGAGAAAGGATAAAATATCTTAGCAAAACTAGCAATTAAACTCTTAAAGTAAATTTGGGGCATCAAGTAAAAAAAGTGATAACTTCTGGGAAAAAAATACATAAATAAAAAACTGAGAGTGTAAATTTAAGATCCCAAACATCCTAGTACTAGGGAGTTGTGACTATATGAAAGTGCTGGGGTTTGAGTCTACTGAAATACTAATAACTGTAAGTTTTTACTCATAATACACAGCTAGCAGCAGAGGGAAAAGGTAACTGGTGGCCAAGCACCCCCTCACCCCCCGCCCCACACCCCCCACACACTAAGCCATATCTGAATTTGGTATGGGGTTTTCAAGGCATACCGACAACCTGTGATCCAACTCTTAATGTATGCTTATCCCAGATTTGGAACTCTGTTGAGCAAATTTCTGTTTAAGAGTTTTGATCAATAGCTTGAATCTTTTAAAGAGATCAAATCACCACATAAGATGGGGTCAAGTTGTTGTTCAGATACGACACTGCCAAAGTTCTATGCTCAACTGAAGTATTATTTTTCACCTTAGCTACTTACTAGGCAGGGTGCCCCAGACACACATAGCAATCTAATCCCAAAGTTATACTGACATCTGGGAAATATCTGCATCATTGAGTTAATTTTTCTCTTTCATTTAAGCTAGAGTCAGGAAGGCTGGCCTTCAAACCACATCTAATCCTTGTCCTCATTTCTTCCAGCCAACCAGATGACAAAATTTTTATCAGTACAGCTGAAACCTAGAGAATAATCCTTCAGTGCTGGGTGTAGTGACAACCCCATTAACACAGGGGTGACATTCAAAATGTTTGCCAACCAATCATCATGGATCCCTGAAGCAGGGATCTGAATACTCTGCTGGTCCAGGGATTAACCCTTTGGTCATTGACAGTGAGGAGTTTGGTTCCTGAGAAGGGGCTGAGACATCAGGAGCAAAAAGGGCTGGGTGGGCACGTGTACCTCTGGGCTAAGACCATCTAAGAACTCAATATTACAGCAGCTGCTACAACTATACCACTTCATCCCGGCTGAATCTAAGAAGCAAGTGGCTCACAGATTACAGAAGAGAGCTAGACTTGTGAAATTTGAATATCCACAGAATCAAAACTTTAAATGCCTTGTTTAATGTACCTGATAGTGAACCACAACTAAAGATTCCTTCAAAATGCCTCTGCTTCTCTGTAACCCATCTCCCCCTTTCTCTCGACTCTCTCATTTTTCTCCATATTTATCTTCCATGTAATACCTTGACTCTCCCGTTACCTCTTTCCTTTAAAAAAATATACTTTTATGTTGCTCTCTTTGCTCCTTTTCTTGGCTGTTTTCCCTTTCTCTTCCATTTCCCATCTTATCACTTCTCTCCATTCTCTAAAATGTACTAAAGTACATTTATTTTTGAAGTGTTTTTTGTAAGCCATTGTGTCTCACTCCACTTAAGGGCTATATGTAAGAAAACATACACACAAGAAAGTAAAGTGAAAAATAAGCCTTTGTTTTCATTGTGTGCAAAAGAGGAAGGCGTCATTTCAAAATTACTAGTTTTAAGATTCCCCACCTTGGCTTCCTTGGGTGCATTATGAAAGGCATCCTTTTCTTAACCTTCTTAAACTAACTGGCCAGACTTATTCCCATAAATCACTTAATTGCATTGTTCAGCCAAGGTCATGAGTTTGGCCATTCGGCTGCTTACCACTCCTTTGTCTTCCAGCTGCCCTATCTACCCTAGTTCCAAATTTTCACAGCCTTGGTGGAACCTAAGGAGGACAGTCATATCCCTTCCAACTGATAGCAGCCTAAGCCATAAAGCTTAGTCAGCAGATTTCAAGAGATACTGCCAAGGCCAGCAGATGGCATGCACAAAAACAGGTAGGATCCTCCAAATAAAGCAGGAGAGTATTGTTGGTATCCCATAGCACAGCGGTACCGAGTACACGTTGCCATTCTGGTTCTGTTTGCCTTAGATTGATTCCTTGCCCTTTCCCCACTCTGTTCTGTTTCCCTGGTTCCCAGGTCAGTTGGCTTCTGGCTGGGTTGGCCAATAGAAGACACTACTGTCTGGAGGAAGGAGATGCCAGTATGTTTCTCCCCTTTCCTATCTGCTTTGGACTCTTTCCCCTCTACTCTTCTGCTTTAGACAGAACTCTGGCTTGGCAGTCCACTCCCTGGTTGGTTTTTCAGCCTCTTCCATCTTTTGTGAAATCAATCCCCTGAATCAAATTCCCTCTGTTTTAAGTGCTCACAATGGTTTCCATTATTCTGGTTGGACCTTGACCTTAACACCACTCCTTAGGAACAGCCACTTTCCTAACAGGCAATACCATTCCTGCCTACCTCCACTCCTCTAACACTCCCACTCCACACCCACACACATACTCAGCCACCACCTACACAAATCTACACCTTCCTTTTTGCCACTCTAGTTCAATTCCTGTCATTACAAGAACTGCAGACCTACCTTTTCTCCACTAGAGGAAATACAAGGGCAGAGTCTGGAATCAAGCAGGTCTGGATTCAGAGCACAGAAGAATAGGTGCTGTCTCTCCAGCACCCAGCATCTGTGCCTAACTCCAGCCAAGTCATTGTAAACTCAGCAGACAAACAACAAAAACTTCCCTAGAGCCCGCTGGATAGATGCCAGGGAATCAGAAAACATCATGAGCTAGCATATGAGATTTCATTCAAATGTATCTGTTTTATTTTTCTTGGGAGATGGTCTATTTATTTTATTAATTTCTCAAAGGGAATGTAAGCCAAAAACTAGCGAAGAAAAATGTAACCACATCAAAACTTAAAACTTCAGAGCATCAAAGGACACAATCAACAGAGTGAAAAGGCAACTTATGAAATGGGAGAAAATATTTGCAAATTGTATATTCTGATAAGGGATTCATACCCAGAATATATAAAGAACCCCTATAACTCAATAACAAAAAACCCAACTAGACTAAAAAATGAGCAAAGAATGTGAATAGATGTTTCTCCAAAAATATATACAAATGACCAACAAGCACATGAAAAGATGCTTATCGTCACTAACTATTCCTGGGCAAGATGGCCAAATAGGAACAGCTTTAGTCTGTAGCTCCCAGCGAGACCAACACAGAAGGTGGGTGATTTCTGCATTTCTAACTGAGGTACCCGGTTCATCTCACTGGGACTGGCTAGACACTGGGTACAGCCCATGGAGAGTGAGCAGAAGCAGGGTGGGGCATCACCTCACTCAGGAAGTACAAGAGGTTGGGGAACTCCCTCCCCTAGCCAAGGGAAGCCATGAGGGACTCTGCCATAGGGATGGTGCTTTCTGGCCCAAATACTACACTTTTCCCAAGGTCTTCGCAACCCACAGACCAGGAGATTCCCTCGGGTGCCTACACCACCAGGGTCCTGGGTTTCAAGCACAAAACGGGGTGGCTGTTCAGGCAGACACCGAGCTAGCTGCAGGGTTTTTTTGTATACCAGTGGCGCCTGGAATGTCAGTGAGACAGAACTGTTCACTCCCCTGGAAAGGGGGCTGAAGCCAGGGAGCCAAGTAGTCTTGCTCAGCAGATCCCACCCCCACAGAACCTAGCTAGCTAAGATCCACTGGCTTGAAATTTTCACTGACAGCACAGCAGTCTGAAGTCAACCTGGGACTCTCAAGTTTGGTAAGGGGAGGGACATCTGCCATTACTGAGACTTGAGTAGGTGGTTTTCCCCTCACAGTGTAAACAAAGCCTCCTGGAAATTCAGACTGGGTGGAGCCCACCACAGCCCCCTAAAGCCCCTGTAGCCAGACTGCTTCTCTAGATTCCTCCTCTCTGGGCAAGGGATCTCTGAAAAAAAAAGCAGCAGCCCCAGTCAGGGGCTAATAGATAAAACTCCCATCCCCCTGAGACAGAGCACCTGGGGGAAGGGGTGGCTGTGGGCACAGCTTCAGCAGACTTAAACATTCCTGCCTGCCAGCTCTGAAGATAGCAGTAGATCTCCCAGCACAGCACTCAAGCTCTGCTAAGGGACAGACTGCCTCCTCAAGTGGGTCCCTGACCCCCATGCCTCCTGACTGGGAGACACCTCCCAGCAGAGGTCGACAGACACCTCATACAGGACAGCTCCGAATGGCCTCTGGCTGGTGCCTCTCTGGGATGAATCTTCCAGAGGAAGGAGCAGGCAGCAATCTTTGCTGTTCTGCAACCTCCACTGGTGATAACCAGGCAAACAGGGTCTGGAGTGGACCCCCAGAAAACTCCAGCAGACCTGCAAAAGAGGTGCCGGACAGTTAGAAGAAAAACTAGCCAACAGAAAGCAGTAGCATCAACATTAACAAAAAGGATAACCACACAAAAACTCAATGCAAAGGTCACTGACAGCAAAGACCAAAGGTAGATAAATCCACCAAGATGGAAAAAAAAAAAAAAGCACAAAAAGGCTGAAAATTCCAAAAGCCAGAATGCCTCTTCTCCTCCAAAGGATCACAACTCCTCACCAACAAGGGAACAAAACTGTACAGAGAATGAGTTTGATGAATTGACAGAAGTAGGTTTCAGAAGGTGGGTAATAACAAACTCCTCTGAGCTAAAGGAGCATGTTCTAACCCAATGCAAGGAAGCTAAGAACTTTGATAAAAGGTTAGAGGAATTGCTAATTCAAATAACCAGTTTAGAGAAGAACATAAGTGACCTGATGGAGCTGAAAAACACAGCACGAGAACGTTGGAAGCATACACAAGTATCAATAGCCAAATCGATCAAGCAGAAGTAAGGATATCAGAAACTGAAGATTAAATTAATGAAATAAAGCATGAAGAAAAGATTAGAGAAAAAAGAATGAAAAGAAACAAACAAAGCCTCCAAGAAATATGGGACTATGTGAAATGACCAAACCTACATTTGATTGGTGTACCTGAAAATGGCAGGGAGAATGGAAGCAAGTTGGAAAACACACTTCAGGATATTATCCAGGAGAACTTCCCCAACCTAGCAAGATAGGCCAACATTCCAATTCAGGAACTACAGAGAACACCACAAAGATACTCCTCGAGAAGGGCAACCACAAGACACATAATCGTCAGATTCACTAAGGTTGAAATGAAGGAAAAAATGTTAAGGGCAGCCAGATAGAAAGGTCAGTTTACCTCTCTGCAGAAACCCTACAAATCAGAAGAGAGTGGGGGCCAACATTCAGTATTCTTAAAGAAAAGAATTTTCAACCCAGAATTTCATATCCAGCCAAACTAAGCTTCATAAGTGAAGGAGAAATAAAATCATTTCCAGAAAAGCAGATGCTGAGGGATTTTGTCACTACCAGGCCTGCCTTACAAAACTCCTGAAAGAAGCACTAAATATGGAAGGGAAAAACTGGTACCAGCCACGGCAAAACAAATCAAAATGTAAAGACCTTCAACACGATGAAGAAACTGCATCAACTAATGCGCAAAATAACCAGCTACCATCATAATGACAGGATCAAATTCACATATAACAATATTAACCTTAAAGGTAAATGGGCTAATGCCCCAATTAAAAGGCACATACCAGCAAACTGGATAAAGAGTCAAGACCCATTGGTGTGCTGTATTCAGGAGACCCATCTCAGGTGCAAAGACACACATGGGCTCAAAATAAAGGGATGGAGGAAGATTTACCAAGCAAATGGAAAGAAAAAAAAAAAGGAGGATTGCAATCCTAGTCTCTGACAAAACAGACTTTAAACCAACAAAGATCAAAACAGGCAAAGAAAGGCATTACATAATGGTAGAGGGATGAATGCAACAAGAAGGGCTAACTATCCTAAATATATATAAAGTCAATACAGGAGCATCCAGATTCATAAAGCAAGTTCTTAGAGACCTACAAGGAGACTTAGACTTCCACACAATAATAGTGGGAGACTTTAACACCCCGCTGTCAATATTAGACAGATCAACCAGACAGAAAATTTACAAGGATATCCAGGACTTGAACTCAGCTCTGGACCAAGTGGACTTAATAGACATCTACAGAACTCTCCACCCTAAATCAACAGAATATACATTGTTCTTAGCATGACATAGCACTTATTCTAAAATATAAAATCAACCATACAATTGGAAGTAAAACACTCCTCAGCAAAGGCAAAAAAAAAAAAAAAAAAAAAAAGGGATTTCATAAGAAACAATCTCCCAAACCACAGTGCAATAAAATTAGAACTCAGGATTAAGAAAATCACTCAAAACCTCACAACTACATGGAAACTGAGCAACCTGCTCCTGCGTGACTACTGGGTAAATAATGAAATTAAGGCAGAAATAAATAAGTTCTTTGAAACCAATGAGAACAAAGACACAACATACCAGAATCTCTGGGACACAGCTAAAGCAGTGTGTAGAGGGAAATTTATAGCACTAAATACCCACATTAGAAAGTGGGAAAGATCTAAATCGACACCCTAACATCACAATTAAAAGAACTAGAGAAGCAAGAGCAAACACATTCGAAAGCTAGCAGAAGGCAAGAAATAACTAAGATCAGAGCAGAACTGAAGGAAATAGAGACACAAAAAACCCTTCACAAAATCAATGAATCCAGGAGCTGTTTTTTCAAAAAGATTAACAAAATAGATGGACCACTAGCCAGACTAATAAAGAAGAAAAGAGAGAAGAATCAAATTGCACAATAAAAAATGATAAAGGGAATACCATAACTGATCCCACAGAAATACAAACTACCATCAAAGAACACTATAAACACCTCTATGCAAATAAACTAGAAAATCTAGAAGAAATGGGCAATTCCTGGACACATACACCCTCCCAAGACTAACATCACAATTAAAAGAACTAGAGAAGCAAGAGTAAACACATTCAAAAGCTAGCAGAAGGCAAGAAATAACTAAGATCAGAGCAGAACTGAAGGAAATAGACACACAAAAAACCCTTCATAAAATCAATGAATCCAGGAGCTATTTTGGTAATCTTTTAACAAAATAGATGGACCGCTAGCCAGACTAATAAAGAAGAAAAGAGAGAAGAATCAAATAGCACAATAAAAAATGATAAAGGGGATATCACAACTGATCCCACAGAAATACAAACTACCATCAGAGAATACTATAAACATCTCTATGCAAATAAACTAGAAAATTTAGAAGAAATGGACAAATTCCTGGACACATACACCCTCCCAAGACTAAACCAGGAAGAAGTCGAACCCCTGAATAGACCAATAACAAGTTCTGAAATTGAGGCAGTAATTAATAGCCTACCAAACCAAAAAAGTCCAGGACAGACGAATTCACAGCTGACTTCTACCAGAGGTACAAAGAGGAGCTGGTACCATTCCTTCTGAAACATTCCAAACAACAGAAAAAGAGGGACCCCTCCCTAACTCATTTTATGAGGCCAGCATCATCCTGATACCAAAACCTGGCAGAGACACAACAAAAAAGAAAATTTCGGGCCAATATCCCCAATGAACATCAATGCAAAAATCCTCAATAAAAGTCTGGCAAACCAAATCCAGCAGCACATTAAAAAGCTTATCCACCACCATCAAGTCGGCTTCATCTCTGGGATGCAAGGCTGGTTCAACATATGCAAATCAATAAACATAATCCATCACATAAACAGAACCAATGACAAAAACCACATGATTATCTCAATAGATGCAGAAAAGGCCTTCAATAAAATTCAACACCCCTTCATGCTAAAAACACTCAATAAACTAGATATTGATGGAACATATCTCAAAATAACAAGAGCTATTTATGACAAACCCACAGCCAATGTCATACTGAATGGGCAAAAGCTGGAAGCATTCCCTTTGAAAACCGGCACAAGACAAGGATGCCCTCTCTCACCACTCCTATTCAATATAGTATTGGAAATTCTGGCCAGGGAAATCAGGTAAGAGAAGGAAATAAGACGTATTCAAACAGGAAGAGAGGAAGTCAAATTATCTCTGTTTGCAGATAACCCCATCATCTCAGCCCAAAAACTCCTTAAGCTGATGAGCAACTTCAGCAAATTCTCAGGATACAAAATCAATGTTCAAAAGTCACAAGTGTTCCTATACACCAATAATAGACAAACAGAGAGCCAAATCATGAGCAAACTCCCATTCACAATTGCTACAAAGAGAATAAAATACTTAGGAATACAACTTACAAGGGATGTGAAGGACCACTTCAAGGAGAACTACAAACCACTGCTCAGGGAAATAAGAGAGGACACAAACAAACAGAAAAACATTCCATGCTCATGGATAGAAAGAATCAATATCATGAAAATGGCCATACTACCCAAAGTAATTTATAGATTTAATACTATGCCCATGAAGCTACCATGGATTTTCTTCACAAAATTAGATAAAAACTACTTTAAATTTCATATGGAACCAAAAAACAGCCCATATAGCCAAGGCAATCCTAAGCAAAAAGAACAAAGCTGGAGGCATCCAGGTACCTGACTTCAAACTACACTACCAGGCTACAGTAACCAAAACAGCATGGTACTGATACCAAAACAAATATATAGACCAATGGAACAGAACAGAGGCCTCAGAAATAACACCACACATCTACAACCACTTGATGTTTGACAAACCTGACAAAAACAAGCAATGGGAAAAGGATTCCCTATTTAATAAATGGTATTGGGAAAACTGGCTAGCCATATGCAGAAAACTGAAACTGGACCCCTTCCTTACAACTTGCACAAAATTTAACCCAGCATGGATTAAAGATTTAACTGTAAGACCTAAAACCATAAAAGCCCTAGAAGAAAACCTAGGCAATACTATTCAGGACATAGGCATGGGCAAAGACTTCATGACTAAAATACAAAAAGCAATAGCAACAAAAGCCAAAATTGACAAATGGGATCTAATTTAACTAAAGAGCTTCTGCACAGCAAAAGAAACTATCATCAGAGTGAACAGGCAACCTTCAGAAAAGGAGAAAATTTTTGCAATCTATCCATCTGACAAAGGGCTAATATCCAGAATCTACAAAGAACTTAAACAAATTTACAAGAAAAAATGAACAACCCTATCAAAAAGTGGCAAAGGATATGAACAGACACTTCTTAAAAGAAGACATTTATGTGGGCAACAAACATATGAAACAAAGCTCATCATCACTGGTCATTAGAGAAATGCAAATCAAACCACATTGAGATACCATCTCACACCAGTTAGAACGGCCATCATTAAAAAGTCAGGAAACAACAGATGCTGGTGAGGATGTGGAGAAATAGGAACACTTTTACATTGTTGGTGGGAGTGTAAATTACTTCAACCCTTATGGAAGACAGTGTGGTGATTCCTCAAGGATCTAGAACTAGAAATACCATTTGACCCAGTAATCCCATTACTGGGTATATAACCAAAGGATTATAAATCATTCTACTATAAAAACACACGCACAGGTATGTTTATTGCAGCGCTGTTCACAATAGCAAAGACTTGGAACCAACCCAAATGCCCATCAATGTTAGACTGGATAAAGAAAATGTGGCACATATCCACATGGAATACTATGCAGCCATAAAAAAGAATGGGTTCATGTCCTTTGCAAGGACATGGATGAAACTGGAAACCATCATTCTCAGCAAACTACCACAAGAACAGAAAACCAAACACTGCATGTTCTCACTCATACGTGGGAGCTGAACAATGAGAACATATGGGCACAGGGAGGGGAACATCACACACTGGGGCCTGTCAGAGGGTGGGAGACAAGGGGAGGGATAGCATTAGGAGAAATACCTAATGTAGATGATGGGTTGATGGGTGCAGCAAACCAGCATGGTGCACATATACCTATGGAACAAACCTGCACATTCTGCACATGTATCCCAGAACTTAAAGTATAATTTAAAAAAAAAAGAAAAAGATTTCAAATAGTTTTACCACTTGCAAAAAAAATCACTAATCATTAGGAAAATGCAAATCAAAAGCAAATGAAATATCACCTCATAGCCATAGGATGATCACTATAAAAATATACAAAATAACAAATGTTGGCAAGGATAAGAAAAGATTGGAAACCTCATTTCCTGTCGGTGGAAATGGTGCAGGCACTATGAAAAACTGTATATATAGCAGTTCCTCCAAAAACTGAAAATAGAATGACCACATGATCTGGCAATTGCACTTCTGCATATACACCCCCAAAGAGTTGAAAGCAGGATCTCAAAAAGATATTTGTATATTCATGTTCATAGCAGCATTAGTCAGAATGCCCAAAAGGTGGAAGCAATGCAAATGTCCATCAACAGATGAATGAATAAACAAAATATGGTACATGCATACAATGGCATATTGTGTAGCCTTAAAAAGGAAGGCAATCCTGATACATGATACAATGGATTAAACATGAGGACATTATGCTAAATGAAATAAGCTAGTCACAAAAGAAAAATAGCATATGATTTCACTTATATTAGGCACCTAGGGTAGTCAAAGTCATAGAGACAGAAAGAATGGTAGTTGCAAGGGCCTGCAGGGAAGGGAAAACAAATGGGCAGTAGTGATTTAATGGGTACCAACTTCCCCTTTTAAAGATGAAGAGAGTTCTAGACATTGGTGGCACAACAATGTGAATGCACTTAATGTATCATTAGATTATACGCTTAAAAATTGGTAAGAAGGAAAATTTTTATGTTACTTGGATTTTACCACAATTTTTAAAAAATTTAAAAAGTTTTTAAAGGGAAGAAAGTGAAACCTACCATACACTTGAGAATTTATTTTATTGCCCAAAAGAATGGATTAAGGAAGATTGGATTTAGGTCACATTATATTTTTTCTTCTTCACAGCTTAAGTAATTTATTGGATTGAGGTTTGGTTAGAGGTGTGTAACTGGCCAGAATTTCTTAGATGAAGATGGCTTTGAAGATGTGGTTTGCAAATGCTGATTTGGTTTTAAATTTTAATGGCTATCATATGGCATATAAGTTTACTGCTATGCAGCCAATGCTAGTAGCTCTGTCCTCTGGTAAAAAAGAAAGCAACATGATATGATAAAATCTGGGCCAGCCTGGGTGCAGTGGTTCATGCCTGTAATCCCAGCATTTTGGGAGGCAGAGGTGAGCAGATCACCTGAGGTCAGGGGTTCAAAACCAGCCTGGCCAACATGGTGAAACTCCGTCTCTACTAAAAATACAAAAATTAGCCAGGCGTGGTGGCACACACCTGTAATCCCAGCTACTTGGGAGGCAGAGGCAGGAGAATCGCTTGAACCTGGGAGGCAGAGGTTGCCGTGAGCCAAGATCGCACCATTGCACTCCAGCTTGGGTGACAGAGTGAGACTCCCTCTCAAAAATACAAAAATTCTGGGCCTAAATCCTTGTCCTACCACTTGTGACCCAGGGCAAATCAAACAACTTCTCTAAATCTCAAATCCTTCCTCTATAAAATAGGGCAGATACCTTTTCCCCTATTTCATTGTTAGGAGCCTCCAATAAGAAAATGTATGTGCATATACTTTATAAACTGTAAATGTGATTTCAAAGAAGGAATTAGTATAATTACCACTTATGATCCTTGGTTTATGTTCTCTTTCAATTATTTTTACATCACTTTTCCAAATCAGTCTATTATTTATTAGTTCTTTTAACTTAAGCAACTTAGCACACAATGAAGACTATAGTAAATGATTAATACCAGCCTTATGAAAACTATCTTCCAGTCTTTATTAATGTACAGGCACAAATCTTTAATTAGAATTAGCTGTAGCATGCCACTTTATATTCTGTCTTTTCCATTTAACATTATACACCATTCTCAGGTATTAACATGCCATGTAAAATAACTATGGCATTGCAAACCATCAACATGCCATAGTTTGCAGCATGGTTCCTGAACGAGCATTGGTATTCAAATATCAACCAATAAACAGAAAGCTTTAGAGGAAAATCTATGTGCTGGGTATACCCTTGCGCAAAAGTGCCAGAATATAATCTAATGGGCTTGGGAGCAGAGACAGTACCCACCTCCTTGGCTGAGAGAATTCTGAGGCCATAACTGAAGGAAGACAGTAATGATGAAAATACTCCTACAGGACAGAGACCTGAAGCCTGCCAACTTACTAACCAAGAAGTAACACTAGATTGATCACAAATCAAAGACCAAAACAGTCCAGTAGGGAGCAAGGAGAATGTATACAAAATGGCCCACAATTTCAGTAGTAGAATTCATGAAAACTTGCATTTGAGTTCTGAATCTGCCTCCAATGAGGGCCACTTAACTTACCATTGGTACTTCACTGTTATAAGTCTTCATTGTTCCATTTATAAGAAAATAGTAGCATCTTACTCATAGGGTTGTTTGGAAAAGCCAATGAGGTCATACACATAAAACACTCAGCAAGTGCTCAAAAATTGCAGATACGAAATTAAGTTTGGCACTATGTTTCCATACGTAACCAAACACAATGTAAAGGCTAAATGAGGTCTCTGCGGAATACGCAAGTCATATCAATCTTGCGGGAATCAGACGTACTCAATGAAGGGGTGCTGACTGAATCCTTTCTTTGGGATGTTAAATGTTTTACAAAAGCAGCACTTTGTTTGCATTCAAACAGTCAGTGAAAGGATAGCACCCATACCTTCTACTCTAAACCCTTGAGTGTCCCCTAGGTGCAGATCCAAAAATTCCAATCATCTAACATTAATAAAGCAATGTACCAGGCAGCCCCACCTGAAGTCTCAGAAAACGTCAGGTTGCAATTCATCCTTCATTAGACAGTATCTATTAGCAAAGGAAAATATCAAAGTCCACTTCCAGATGTTACAGAGTTGTTAATGCGAAGAAGCTTTATCCACATGTGAAAGCAAATTCTGCAGCCTGAGGAAGGCAGGTGCCATGAAAGCAGCACCTTTCATGGAGATTCACAGAGTTACTAAATTCTAAGGGTCTGAAACTGCCCAATAAGCCATGACACCCAGCAGCTTCAGAATGCGTGTTTCTCCTTTTAGTATTGACCCAGAAGTAAAGGTCAGTTCCTTGCTTCGTTTGGCAGAAAAGATAGTTTCCAACATGCAGAAAACATTGAGGAGTTGATGTAGAGAAAGGAACTTGCAGAATTTTTCTATCTTTTTTCCAAAATTTGTTCATTACAGGCATACCCTGTGCTCTCTGAATCCATCTCCTAGGTGTATACTCGACAGTCTTTAAATGTGCACCAAAACACACATACAAGATAGCAATGGTAGCTTCGTTCCTAATGGCCCCAAGGTGGAAATGACCCAAATGTCCACTATTGGAATGGATAAATTATGGTATATTCATATAAAGGAATAATAACCAGCAATAAAAATGAATAAACTACCACAGTATACAATATAAATGAATCTCCCAAACATAATTTTGAATAAAGTCAGACAAATAAAGAATATATACCATATAATTGCTTTTGTAAGAAGCTCAAAAATAGGGCAGCTTAATCTATGGTATGGGAGGTTATGACAGTGGTCACCTTTGGCTGGGGAAAGGGCAGGGGGAAGAAGGGTATAGGGATTGGGAAGGTGTCAGTGACGTTTTGGGATGCTGGGAATGTTCAATTTCCTGATCTAGATGGTAGTATGTGAGTGTGTTAACTTTGTGCTAATTCATCAAACACTTTGATTCGTGCATATTTCTATATGCATATTATATTTCAATTAAAATTTTTATCAAAATAGATTTTTTACCTTATTGCAAATTTCTTTTTTAATTTTCTGTATTTTATGTTTTGACATCTTAAAAAATCTTCCTGGCTAGTGAGAAGCTGCCCTTCTTGGGGCTGGTCAGTTCTTACAGGTAGCAAAGGGCCCAGCCTGTGTCACATATATGTGCAAACTAACCAATCCGGAGCCACACCTCCTCTATCTGGCCATACACCCCAGCGGGTAATATTCTTTTGTCTGATCATCCCCAGGCCAGGTGCCAGATAACTAGGCACCACACCTAAGTCCAAAGCCTGAGGAAATTATTCAAGCTAGCCAGTCCAAAACTATTTACCTGGCCCTGCCTTGCCTTTTTCTGGGGAACCACAATAAAGGCAGTGGCCTAAACTCTTCTTCCTTCTGACCACCTGGTGTCTTTCTCACGTGGCCTTGTGTGGTGTGGCATGACGTTCCTCTTGTCTTCAGGATCTGTAAGCATAACAGACTTTGTTTTCCTGAGCTTCTCCTATATCTCTTCTTATGGCCACACCCGACTGACCATCTCATAAAAGAATACAATACATTTATCAAATTGACTAACACATTAAAAAAAGGAGACATTGCCTTACTGTATAGGACTGATGAACAATTCAATCTAATTTTCCTATAATGAAACGAAGAAAATGAAACCATGTGTTGAAGTTGCCAACTGGGGCATTATCATTAAGTTAAACTTCCTTCTTTTGTCCAAATAACATGATCTGAAGCTCTAATCTAATAATTCATTATTACCATCTTTAAGTTACATTATTTTTATTTATTTGATTTGATAAGTTTCATATATTCATTATTGCTCTGAAACTATTTCTTTTTTTCATATGTACTAACAATCTCTTTTAAACCTTGAGGAGTATCCCACCTATCTTAATAGGCCAAAATTTAATCAACAAATTCATTTTCATATTTAATAATTGTGTTAATGTGTTTGGTATATTCTCTCTGAATATTCCCAGCTTCAACATTTCTAAGGTTTCAGACGCTGCTGATGAAACGCCAGCATTGGAGTTTCTTTTTATACATGTTCTTCCGGCTTCCTGATCAGTTTTGCTGCCTTCTTTGGACTGGGTCCACATTCATTATGTTTTTCCTAAGTTCACAATGTGCAGTGATTACATAGGAGGGGGGGAAACTCTGCATTGAGGAGCCTCCCTCCATCTCTTGCCCAGCCTTTCCTAGGCCTTTTTGGCAGCTTTAAGGAAGACAGCAACCAGTCTGGTTGGCCTGCACCAAAGCTGTTAGCTCACCTTTCATACATGTTATAAAAAATGCATTATTTGTATTTGCCACATTGAAGCTCATCTGCCTCATTTTGAAACACTCCAGAACAGATCCTTATGTTAGCTTTCTAAAAAAAAAAAAAAAAAAAAAAAAAAAATAGCTACTAGACATTCCTAGAGTTTCTTGAGTATTTTTGCAAAGTTGGCAACTTCTGTTCTCCTGCCTTCAAAACAATTATAAAAGACATAAAAATGTATAGGCCCAGCACCAGCTCCTACACGACCTCACATTTGGCCTTGCTGATCCAGAGAAGTACTTATGTAGTTCTTAGTTTACATTTACTGGCATTCGTCTGGTTTCTTATCCTTGATAACATATTTTCCAAAGCCTATGATAATACATTTTTAAAAGATTTTGACATGAAACCTTGTCTGACATTTCAAAAATCCAATACATACATCCAATAGTTGATGCATTCAAATAGTACAATAATAATAATTCACATTGGAAGCTTATCATGTACTGAGCCCCTTGCTAAGTGATTACATGCTTTTCTCTCTTTTAATCCTTTCAAATATCTGATGAGATAAGTACTATCACCATTCCTGAGGTCACTTTTTTTTCTACAATGGCATAGTCTTGATGAGAATTCTGGTATGTCTGATGCTGTCCACACTCTGAACACATTACTACCCGCTTTTCAGCTTACTTACTTCCTTAAGTAATTGAAATAGATACCACATGTTGTGTGAAATATTATGAATCTTCATGATCCCATCTTAAAATTAAAGCACCAAAGTGCATTTCAAAGCTAAATTGAAGTCAATTTTGGATTAGGGACACTCCTAAATAATCTGCCACCCTTAGCATTGGTAATCAACATTTGAATGTAAATAATTACAATTAAAAGAGTAATTGGAAAAAACACTTGACCTAAAGTTTTGGTACAAAGAAAGGAACAGAAGGAATCCCTCCTTTTGTCCCACTTCCCTGCTGCATGAGCATGTGATTCTATTGCACTGAAGATATTGCTAGCAAGCAAATATGTAGGCAGGCATATTCGATGTCTTTATATTTGTTACTTTATTTTTTCACTATTATTCTCTCTTCTCAAGTAAAAAGACAATGGGATTAGTGTGCCAGCCACTTATTTAATGTTAATATATGAATTGTACTTTAATTTTAAAGGACCATTACAAATGCCCAGATACTGGTCTACAGAAATCTCAAGAAAGAGGTACTTAAATTTTCAGAGGAAAAGTTAAGGGCCAAGGAGTCACCGAGAACATTATGCTAATGTATACAAATACTCATAAACAGAGTCCACTAAATTAGAAGCTTTGAACTGAATTGGTAAGATAAGTGAGGGTCACTATGACAATGTTGCTCCAAGACTGCTCCTCTAAAACAGGCTCAAATGAGGACAAGGAGAGTTTAAAAGGCTTAATTTGAAACAAGCTGAAAAAAGAAGCTTGATAGTGAAGAACTGCTGGACAGAAGTGAACTGGCATAAATTTCATTTTAGAAGAAGTATTTTTATGCTCAACATCATTAGCTCTGTGACTGAATCAAGAACGCTTGAAAATTAATTACTCCTCTATTCAAAAATGGAGATAAGCCAACACACACAGGCCAAGAAAAAGCTTGTTAGCCAAGCGTGTTAATGCGAAAGTTCTGAGGTCATGGAATACTCTGTGCATACCTCAGTCACCTTTGAGAATTGGGCAATGAAGAAAGAGAGCTGATGGGACCTAAAAGACATCTATTCATCTCAAGTATAAGCCAATTTCACCAAGGTTGAACTGTCTCCTTGAAGGGAATGATAAAATATTCACCAGGAATAGGCTTTTCCACGAAGAAAAAGAAAAAAAAAAACAAAAAAACCTTAGATCTTTTCACTGCATCTGCCTTACTTGTCCTAACTGCAGTTGCAAAGGGAAGAAAGAGGGAGGAGGGAAAAGCAGAAGGGAGGGAGGAAAAGAAGAAGGGAAGGGTTGCCAAAGGATAACTATTCCTTCTTTGTCCAAAAGGCTATCTAACATTTATGGTGAGGCTAAGACCGTGGTATTTAAATTTCCCACCACTGTCACATTTTATTCTTTTACTCTGCTATATTTTTTTCACAGTGCTCATTGTCATGTGCTGGTTGTCACATATTTTCTCCACTGCAATGCAAGCTCCATGCAGGCAGCGGTGTTGTCTCACTGCAGCTGTGGCTCCAGGTCCTAGAACAGTGCCTAAAACAGTAGGCACTCAATAAGTATTTGTGAAATGACTGCACAAATGAGTGAATGGTTGAGTTAATTAATTAGCTAGGGTACCAGAATATCCTGTTTTTTCAAAATATTAATATTCGGCTTCCTTTTCCTCATCAGCCATATTGACATGGAGGTGAGATGATTCTGACATTATTTCCTCAACCCCAAGCCCAAATTAGGACCACTGTCTTAAGCACACACACACATACACAAGTTTTTGTTGCAAAGAAATTCAAGCTGAAAAAAAAAATACACTCTGGTGGAAAGGGAAAAGATAGGAATGGGCCATTTTTAAAAAGAAGAGAAATAGCAAAAAATACACCCTCTGCATTAAAGAAATAAAATTAAAACAGAAATGAGATACCAATTTTTTAAAATCTTTGCCATTGGGATGCAAAAAAGCAATAATCACTGTTGCAAGTGTACAGGGAGATGAGCACTTTTATATGTTGCTAGTAGGAGTGTCAGGTGTTAAGTATTCTCTTCACACCACATAGTCTTGGTAGAGCTGTCAACTACAATGTCCATGCTTCTGCCACAGAGGTAAGCCCAAGATGGTCATAGGACCCAACAGAAGGAAGAGAAGAAGTTGTACTTGGAAGCTAATTCTTTCCCTGATGCAGATTACTACAGATATATAACAGCATTGAACTAATTCAGACAAATCAATGACCCAAGGATGGACCTAGCACTCTTCAATTGGCCATAAGTACAGTACCTTCTATGGACTTTTGGAGAAGGAGCAAGAAAAAGAACATTGTTTTTCTAAAGAGACAAAGCCAGAAAAGATGCACTATCCAAAGCAATGGAAATAAAACTACCTTGTAAGTGTCCAGTTCCTATCAAACCAAAACCCCATAGAACTACATCATTATCTAATAACACTGTAATGAAGAAAGTCAAAAAGGAAGTGCCTCATTGAATAATGTGCCAGACATAGCTATGTATGTGTTGATCCTCTCCCTGTGTATGTTTCTTTCTTGAAAGGCAGTAGGTCTGCTTCATAAGTTATAATAGATTTTTATCAATATATATACTGGAAGAGACATGAACAATTTGGTGTTTGGTATCAATACTAAAATAATTTTAAATGGATTTTCATTTGCTTTGGCTGAACATAGATTAGTTAGATAACAAGTCATTTTTTCAACAAAAACCATCTGGAAATTCTCTGTTTCACTCATCGTTTTTCTAAAGTGATTTCAAGAAAGTAAATGGAAATGTATTCTCTTTTCAATATAATTTAAAGAGAATCAAGAATAATTTTCAGAGTTTTTAAACAAAATATCCACGACTGAAATAGCACACCACGAATGTCATATCTATAAAGAAAATGTGAATTTTGAACCCAGCCACTTTCAGTGATATAAAAGTCAAATTATTGAGTCCCCAGACCCATCTGGTGACAACAGGGGCAGGGGTGATACTGACTCATCACTTTGCAGGAGTAATGGCAGATTTTGAATCATTTTGGGTAAGATTTCTGATTTATATTTTTTATTATTTTCTCCATGTTTCCTCTTTAGGAATTCTGGAAATTACATTTGGTTGAACGAGAATGGTAAAAAAATAGAAGAACCATGGTCTGTCTACTGCTGAGTAAAAGTTCATGGAAAGGCCTTATTCCTGTTTCTCCTTTCCTTCCTACCCTTCCTACAAGTAACAGAATGTTCTTCTGAAAGTAAATGAGAAAAACAAGTCTTTACTTTCACCATCAAATCCAGAGCCACTGAACTTCCAGAATCAGTTGGCTCTAGATCTGATTCTTTATTGGCACTTATCTTCATAGTCATACAATAGTTCAATGATTGAGCTCCAATCATCATACAATCACTTTACATTACTGGAGGCAGAGAAAATCATACGATTTGTCATTCAAACTAGACTATTTTTATTTTATCTATTTTATTTAATTTCTCATTTCAATAGTTTCTGGGGTACAGGTGGGTTTTGGTTACTTGGATAAATTCTTTAGTGGTGACTTCTGAGATTTTAGTGCACCCCTCACCCAGGCAATGTACACTGTACCCAATATGTAGTCTTTTATCCCCCATCCCCAACCATCCCCACTGAGTCCACAGAGCCCATTATATCATTCTTATGCATTCTTATATCCTCATTGCTTAGCTCCCACTTATAAGTGAGAACATATTATGTTTGGTTTTCCATTCCTGATTTACTTCACTTAGAATAATGGCCTCTAGCTCCATCCAAGTTGCTGCAAAAGACATTATTTCTTTCCTTTTTGTGGCTGAGTGGCATTCCATGGTGTGTATATACTACATTTTCTTTATCCACTTGTTGGTTGATGGGCACATAGATTGATTTCATATCTTTGCAATTGTGAACTGCTATAAATAAGCATTTGTATGTGTCTTTTTGACATAATGACTTCTTTTCCTCTGGGTAGATACCCAGTAGTGGGATTGCTGGATTGAATGGTAGTTCTACTTTCAGTCCTTTTTTTTTTTTTTTTGAGACGGAGTCTCGCTCTGTCGCCCAGGCTGGAGTGCAGTGGCGCGATCTTGGCTCACTGCAAGCTCCGCCTCCCGGGTTCACGCCATTCTCCTGCCTCAGCCTCCCGAGTAGCTGGGACTACAGGTGCCCGCTACCACGCCCGGCTAATTTTTTTGTATTTTTAGTAGAGACGGGGTTTCACCGTGTTAGCCAGGATGGTCTCGATCTCCTGACCTCGTGATCCGCCCGCCTCGGCCTCCCAAAGTGCTGGGATTACAGGCGTGAGCCACCGCGCCCGGCCAACTTTCAGTTCTTTAAGCAATCTCTATACTCTTTTCCATAGTGGCATTCCTACCAGCAGTGTAAAAGTGTTCCCTTTTCATCACCTCCACACCAACACAAGCTAGAATATATTTAAAAGTGAATGAAGCACTATTCATAATTATACCAGAACAATACACATAAACCAGTGCTATCCCAGGAAAATTGGGATATATGCTCGCCCTACTTATTAGGGACAAAAGCATTTCCCAGAATCCCTGGGAGTTTGAAGGGGGCACTCCTTCTCCGAGCACTTTGTCACCTATATAGGCTTCTGTCAGCAAGGAAGAAGATGGATTTGCTGTTGAGTAGGCAACAAACTGTATACACCATAATCCCAGCTCTCAGTCCGGGTCTATGATAATGAACTGAATTTGTTCTTCAAGTCTTAGAAATAAAAAAGGTTGCCTGCTTTTCTGAGAACAAAGCTGTAGGAGGGAGAGATAGATCTTTGATGGTGGTAACCATCCTTCCTCCTGGCTTAAATCCTCCCATATCCCATTATTAGACACAAAACCCTCTACTGTCCCATTTGAGTTAGTATTCTCAGAGTGTGAAGAGCAGTACCCTATCTTTGGCAATGCCTGCACTTGGCTTTTCAGTGAGTGTGCAGCGGGATAATTATGGAATCAGAGAGACCAAGGGGTTGAGGAGGAATTATTTAATTATTTAGGTGCACCGACCCAGTCGAATTAACATCCAAAGGACTGAGCCCCGAACAAAGAGTCAAGCTACCTTTTAAGCATTTTGTGGGGCGGGGGGAGATTTGTGCAGGGGGAAGCGTATTACAGAAGCAAGAAACGAAGACAGTTATTCAATTAAGACATGCATTACATTATTTCTTACTTTTTAAGGAACAACATGCTTTATGAATTGAGATTATCTGTTTAGCGACTTTGCAGCTGCACAGCTAGAGAAACAGAGTCTTCACAATGCCTGAGACAGGGAAAGATAAGGCTCACTAGCCACAGAAAAACAGGCAGTTAATTTTAAAGGACTCCAGTTCTTTCTCTTCTTCAGGGGGAATTGGGTTTTCTTACATACAACTGAGTTTTTGCTTATACATTCTTTAATTTCTTTTAATTCCTGTTCCAAGTGGACATTCATTCCGTAGCCCAAAGCACCTGTATGCACATGCAGGCAAGCAGAGACACATTTCCCTCTCACTGTCAGGTTGAATGGCATTTATAGTCTCAAAGTTGAGAATTACAGAATAAATATTTTAAGATTTTATTCTAGTGTCATTCTCCAAGTCATAACAATAAAATATTGCCTCTTATATAACCTCTAACCATCCCATTTAAAAAAATCATTTGATGCAACTTTAAACCAAAAAGCATCAAAGTCCCAAAAGGTTATTGAAAAGGTTGGAAGCAGTCAAACAGATGTGCAATTAACATCTTTGTTGTCCTTTTCTGATGGCATCTATGCCATCTGAAAACATAAAATCAACATTCTGTTCTAAGACTTTGTTTCTTATGGTGTGAACATGTATATAACATGCCTTAAAAACTAAATGCTGAGGGCACTGAACCAATTCGACTTCAATATGTTCACAACCAAAGGGAAATACTTGCTGTCAGATCTTGACTTCCCTTCACATTTATAAAGTATGGTGGTTAAGGTCCAAAAGCCAAGGCTTTTATATTCAGGATTAAAATAATACTATTAACGCTTAGATTTCTATTATTAAATCTTCATTCCTATCTGGAATGATTGGCAATGAAGAGAAACATTTTTACATTTACTTAAGTCTGAGGCCTGACATAAGAAGGGAAGTTGAGATTACAAAGACCATTGGCTAGAGAAAATGGTCACAAAGAGAATGCTGTAGGATGCATTTACTTGCATGCGTACATGTTCAGGGATGATGCTGGTCACTCAGGAAGAACTCTGACTTAATCGCCACACCTCTAAGAGCATCAGTTCCAAGATCCCTGAAAACAAGAAGTTAACCTATATGTCAACTACTGATCCTCTCAGCTTGTGAAATACAGAAAACTTCTAATTAAGTAGAAGGCAATAGAAACCAGACAAGTTCTCCATTTTTAAAATAATCATAACCCCATCATTCTAAACAGATGACTTCTACTTAGTTTTTAGTGTGTGGTAAAGAGGCACCATTCTTTCTTACTCATTTGCATTTTTTTGAGATTGGGTCTCGCTCTGTCACCCGGACTGGAGTGCAGCGGCACGATCATGGCTCACTGCAAACTCGAACTCCTGGGCTGAAGGGATCCTCCTGCCTCAGCCTCCCAAGTAGCTTGGACTACAGGCACGTGCTACTATACCCAGCTAATTTTTGTATTTTTTGTAGAGATGGGATCTCATTATGTTGCCCAGGCTAGTCTCAAACTTCTGACCCATGTGATCCTCCTGCCTCAGTCTCCCAATGTGCTGGGATTACCAGAAGGAGCCACTGCACCTGGCCAACACCTCTCTTTCCATAAATGTATAATGCGCCTCAGAAAACAGAGAGCCCCAACTCTACTTTGGCTTCTGTGGGCGTTTACCAAGGAAAATTGGTACTCTCGTGAACATGCTTCCTGACGGTTGTGTATATTCTCTCCTAATCAGTCTAGTTCATTTTTTTCACATGAGCACTAGTATTTCACTATTATTTTCAGCCACATTGAATTAGTTAAAAACAAAAAAGAAGTCAATTCAAACATTAAAAAACATCATATTTCTCATGAATTAAACAAAATTCATGCCTTAGCAGTGGTCTCCTTCATGGCTCATTTTTTTTTTCACGCAACAACAAGAAATGATGTAATGAAGAAGATACTAAATAGAGAAGTGCTTTTCAGGAATAGCAGCTTTCTGAATTTAAATTATTGCCATAATGATGGGGTGGGGGGAAAGGAAAGGGGCTGTTTTGTACCTGTTAGACAAAAGAATTTTCCTTCAGTATATTGCAAAGTGAATTTGGTACAGTCTCCTACTAAGATCTCAGGTTGAACCCTATGAGTATCACAAAGTCCACCTTCCACCTTGGAAGGCTTAGCTGATTTCTTTGCTTTGCAGTTTCTCATGCAGAGATTGCGTATCAAACATGCCATCCCAGGAAAAGCACCAAAGTGAAATGCAGTTAGGATCCTGTCCAAGCATATTAGAGGATTGACAAACAGTCAAACAGATGCAGGTACAATTTTTCTTATTCAGCAATGGCCTCAAAAAGCCACAGGGACATGTTTTGCTTGTTTGCTTTTAACATGCCTCATTTGTGTAGCCTAAAATTGTAAATTACTTAGCAAATGGGCAGATAATTTTAGTCAGAGGACAAATTCCGTCAGACAATGGATGATTTGCCCCACACTTCCCAGGCCTCAATGGTGATTCTCAGGAAAGGCACACCTAAGTCATCACCCAAGGGGAAAGGATTGGAAAGTAAAATAACTCCAATAACAAGAAATAAATTCCCTAAAAAACTAAAATTGTTCTCAGTATACAAGCTCACTCTGTCCTCTTCTGGATATAAAATAAGTCTCTCCTATAGATTGGGGTGCTCTGAGCTAGCAACACTAACATTTAATTTAAGAACTTCATAGCAAAATCATCCTTCACACTCAAAGCTACTGAAATAAAGCTTCTCTGCTTCTATGTGACTCTCCTGTCCTAGAACGTGAGATCCCCTTTCACCCCAGTATTATATAGTGATATGAAAAGATGCTAAGTTTTTAAAGTTAAATGGAAAAAAATACGATACACAGAAATACGGCAATAGTATTCTTGAGGTGTGAATATTAGTACTGTAGGTAGTACTAATATTTCTTTCTCCTTTTCAACTATTCCTAGGGTTCTTCAACAAGTATGTTATTTGCATAAAGAAAAATAAATGCATAAAATCTAATAGTCACAATAATTATATTGTTGATATATTCTTATTCTGAAATAAAACATCTGTATTTTTCTAAATGAAAATGTTATGGGGTTCTCTTCAGTAGGTTTATTTCCTATTCAACTTTTGTCTTCACTTTTTTTCATTTCATTAGACTTTCCAGTTTTCTTTTATCTTACATTGGAAAGGGTTCTCTCTTTGATCCTCTTTAACAGAATGTTTAGACATTAGTTGAATACAAATAAATTATATATACTATGTTGTAACATATAAATATCTTCCAAGTATCTATGTATTGCTCCTTTACAGAAAAATCTCTTGAAGGTAGGGAAATTATTTTTCTATGCACTGTATACAGCTGTAACTATGAGGGCTTAAGTGGAAAAATAATACAGGCCTATTCTCTTACTTGAAAGAAAGTTTTATTTATCCATTAAATGTTCAAATGTTCCCAAAACCCATCAGCTGAAGTCCCAGAGTCCTGACTGATAAAGTGTGGAAGAGATGTCCTCGATCTGGGCTATTCTGAGAGCAAGGTCTATCAACTTTCTGCTGCTTCCAAAATATAACCTTAAGATTGTGCCAGTGGAATACTTGATTTTTGAGGAAGACTGCATACCAATGAGCCTACCAGGTCAGTTAGCTACAAAACTTACTTCCAGGTAAATCATTTAAGCATGCCCTCTCATGCATGGTGAGCCCCTTTAAATACAGTTTCCACATTGAATTGAAATCATTTGCATACACCTTATCACTCTGGACATGAGGGCTCCGTGAGGACAGAATTTCTCCTTCTCCTTCCTGCCCAGTTCTTATCAGAGTGCTTAGTACATAGTTAATATTTATTAAGTATTTATTCAAACTTACTTAACAGTATAATTGATTACTTGAACTTTTAGATGAACAAGGCTATTACCAGGAAAATGTTTTTTAAATCAGACCTGTGTGACAGACACAGATTAGCCAAGGCATGACCCTTCGACATCTTCCTCTGCCCAATCCTGCTCCCCCTGCCCTTCCTCTCACAGGAGTTGATCCCTAGTTAACACTGTGCACCTCGAAGTCTGTTTCAGCTTCTGCTTCCAGAAAATCCAATCTATGACTGCTTGGAAATAAAATATAAGACAAGTAGACTTCAAGGCAAAATACCTTAATGGCCTCTGATCAAATGTCACATCTTCAAAGAGGCCTTTGCTGAACCCCTCTCTAAAACAGGTCCCCTCGATCACTCAACACACACTTCCCTCCTCTTCATTCCCTTCATATTGCTTTTTCTTCCTGGCAATATTTCTTCCTGAATTGTCTGCTTGCTTACTGTCTCCCGGTACTAGAAGATAAATTCCATAAAGCAAGGACTTTGACTTGTTCATTGCTGTATGCTCAGCACCTGAGAGCACTGCCTGGAATATAGTAAGCATTCAATAAATATTTATTGAATGAATAAACCATTGCCACATTTATTATCTTAGAAGCATAAAAGGAAAACCTAGAAGCCAGGTTCTATATAGTGAAATTTTAATAAGAGTTTTTCTTATGGTTAAACTTACAAATATATATATCTGATATTCTAAATAGTCTCAACTTTTAATTGGATTCAAGGGTTATAAGTATAAGCCTTTGTGCAATCATAGAAATAATTACAAATTCATAAATCCTGAACAAATAAAAATCTGAGGCATTCCTAAAAGGATCATCATCTACCTTTCCCCACTACTGTATTTGGGTTTGGTTTCCATGTCACCTTGTTTTGTTTTGCTTTTAGAGAAAACTTCAAGGGTATTTGTTTTAGGATGCTCTCATGCTCTCAGAGGCTAGAGGAGGAGACTGTAATAGAGGGAAAATGCCATGCCAAGGAAGAGAAGGATATGACATTATTCTGTGTGGGCTCAGCCTATTCATTAATTCACTTTGAAAGTGTGCGTTCACTTTTAAAATGATGTATTTAAAAGCATAGCAACATAGAGATAACTTGTAAAGCCTTGGAAGTAGATCCAACCACCTAGGGGAGAGCAGCTTTTCAACGCTGGCTGCTCTTTAGAGTTTATACTGTATCCCTTTACACTTCATCTCTGACACTTCACACTCCTTACCTGGCATTTCCTTCCTCACAGTCCTTACTTCACACTTCTGTTTCCCATTCACAAACGGAAAAGTTTACCACAGTGTAATTCTACTGGCCTTCCCATTCATCCTATGTGCCACTGGGAACTTGGGGGGAAGTGTCCTCTCTTTTCCTTCTATATTCATTATAAACCCCACCTTAAAATGTTACTTTTTTGCTTTTAGTTAATTAATTTATTTTTTTACTTTTGAGACAGAGTCTTGCTCTGTCTCACAGGCTGGAGTGCAGTGGCATGATCTCGGCTCACTGCAACCTCCACCTCCCGAGTTCAAGTGATTCTCCTGCCTCAGCCTCCATAGTAGCTGGGATTACAGGTGCTCACCACCACACTCAGCTAATTTATTTTTGTATTTTTAGTAGAAACAGGGTTTCACCATGTTAGCCAGGCTGGTCTCGAACTCCTGACCTCAAGTGATCTACCCATCTCAGCCTCTCAAAGTTCTGGGATCACAGGTGTGAGCCACTGTGCCCAGCCTGTTTTTGCTTTTAAATAGTCAGATGTCTTTTCAGAAAATTAGAAGGGAAAATCATATTCTTTTGTTTAGGTGATAGATTATGTATATTGTTCAATATCCATAGAACAAAATACTACACAGCCACTAAACCCATTGTGTAAGTAAAGTCAGTGATATTGAATATAATCCTTTCCTATTATAGTAATTGAGGAAAGGTTATAGAATAAAATCTATAATATTATCTCAATTATAACAGAATCCATATATATTTAGAAAATTGTATAGGAAGCATATTCTTCAAAACCTCAACATTATATATTTTTGATCCAGAAACACTAGAATGTTTAATTTCTTTTTGTTTTCCCCCCCAGTTAGATATTCAGGTTTATTGCAATTTCTATCAAAATCTCAGCAAGACTTATTTTTAGCTTTTTTATTTCAATCATTTTTGGGGAAACAGGTGTTTCATGGTTACATGGAAAAGTTATTTAGTGGTGATTTCTGAGATTTCAGTGCACCTATCACTGAGTCAGTATACACTGTATCCAATATGTAGTCTTTTATCCCTTAACTCCCAACCTTCCCCGTCAAGCCCCCAAAGTCCAGTGTATCATTCTTATGCCTTTGTGTCCTCATAGCTTAACTCCCACTTATAAGTGAGAACATATGATTTTTGATTTTCCATGTATGAGTTACTTCACTTAGAATAATGGCCTCCAGCTCCATCCAAGTTGCTGCAAAAGACATTATTTCATTCATTTTCATGGCTGAGTAGCATTCCATGGTGAATATATACCATATTTTCTTTATCCACTCATTGGTTAATGGACACTTAGGTTGGCTCCATTTCTTTGCAAGTGCAAATTGTGTTCCTATAAACATGCATGTGCATGTGTCTTTTTCACAAAATAATTTTTGTTTCTTTGGGTAGATACCCAATAGTGGAATTGCTGGATCAAGTAGTAGTTCTACTTCTAGTTCTTTAAGGAATCTCCATACTGTTTTCCACAGTGGTTGTACTAATTTACATTTCCACCAGCAGTGTAAAAATGTTCCCCTTTCACCACATCCATGCCAACATCTATTGTTTTTTTGACTTTTTAATTACGACCATTCTTGCAGGAGTAAGGTGGTATCTCATTGTGGTTTTAATTTGCATTTCCCTGATGATTAATGATGTTGAGCACTTTTTCATGTATTTGTTGGCTGTTTGCATATCTTTTGAGAATTGTCTATTCATGTCCTTTGCCTACTTTTTGACGGCATTATTTGTTTTTAACTGGCTGATTTGTTTGAGTGTTATGTAGATTCTGGATACTAGTTAGATGCATACTTTGTGAATATTTTCTCCCATTCTGTGGCTTATCTGTTGACTCTGCTGATTATTTATTTTGCTGTGCAGAAGTTTTTTAGTTAATTAGGTCCCATCAACCATACCTGTATATTTATACATTTTATGCATTTGTCATTATGTACTTCTCATTCCTTTGTATAGATTCAAATTTCCATACAGTTTCATTTCTCCTAGTCTGAAGCTTTTAGCTTTTCTTATGGTACAGTTCTGCTGGCTACAAGTTCTCTCACCTTTAACTTGTATGAAAATGTCTTTATTTCATCCACTAGATATAGAATACTGAATAGAGAAGTTTGGTTTCTCTCTCTCTCTCAGCACTTTCTTTTTTGTTGTTGTTTAATCATGAAATTTCTTTTTTTTTCCATAAGTTATTGGGGTACAGGTGGTATTTGGTTACATAAGTTATTTAGTGGTGATTTGTGAGATTTTGGTGGACTCGTCACCCGAGCAGTATACATTGCACCATATATGTAGTCTTTTATCCATTGCCTCCTCCCACACTTCCCCCCAAGTTCCCAAAGTCCATTGTATCATTCTTTATGCCTTTGTGTCTTCTCTTCATAGCTTAGCTCTCATGTATCAGTGAGAACATACAATGTTTGGTTTTCCATTCCTGAGTTACTTCACTTCGAATAATAGTCTCCAATCTCATCCAGGTCACTGCAAATGCTGTTAATTCATTCCTTTTTATGGCTGTGTAGTATTCCATCTATATATATATATATATATATATATATATATATATATATATATATATCACAGTTTCTTTATCCACTGACATTGATGGGCATTTGAGTTAGTTCCACGATTTTCCTATTGTGAATGGTGCTGCTATAAACATGTGTGTGCAAGGATCTTTTTTGAATAATGACTTCTTTTCCTCCGGGTAGAATCTCAGTAGTGGGATTGCTGGATCAAGTGGTAATTCTACTTTTAGTTCTTTAAGGAATCTCCACACTGTTTTCCATAGTGGCTGTACAGTTCACTGCTCACCGCATCCATGACAACATCTACTGCTTTTTTATTTCTTTATGGCCATTCTTGCAGGAGTGAGGTGGTATCACATTGTGGTTTTGATTTGATTTCCCAGATCATTAGTGATGTTGAGCATTTTTTCACATGTTTGTTGGCCATTTGTATATCTTCTTTTGAGAATTGTCTATTCATGTCTTTAGCCCACTTTTTGAGGGATCGTTTGTTTTTTTCTTACTGATTTAAGTTTGTTGTAGATTCTGGATATTAGTTCTTCATCAGATGTATAGATTGTGAAGATTTTCTCCCTCTCTTTGGGTTGTCTGTTTACTCTGCTGTTCATTTTGCCTTGCAGAAGCTCTTTAGTTTTATTAGGTCCCAGCTATTTATCTTTGTTTTTATTGCGTTTGCTTTTGGGTTCTTGGTCATGAAATCATTGCCTAAGCCAATGTCTAGAAGGGTTTTTCCAATGTTATCTTCTAGAAATTTTATAGTTTCAGGTCTTAGATTTAAGTCCTTAGTCCATCTTGAGTTGATTTTTGTATAAGGTGAGAGAAGAGGATCCAGTTTCATTTTCCTACATGTGGCTAGCCAATTATCCCAGCACCATTTGTTGAAAAGGGTGTCCTTTCCCCACTTTATGTTTTTGTTTGCTTTGTCAAAGACCAGTTGGCTGTAAGTATTTGGATTTATTTCTGGGTTCTGTCTTCTGTTCCATTGGTCTATGTGCCTATTTTTAACCAGTACCATGCTGTTCTGGTGACTATGCACTTATGTATAGTTTGAAATCAGGTAGTGTGATGCCTCCAGATTTGTTCTTTTAGTTTAGTCTTGCTTTGGCTATGTGGGCTCTTCTTTAGCTCCATATAAATTTTAGAGCTGTTTTTTCTAATTCTGTGAAGAATGATGGTGGTATTTTGATGGGCATTGCATTGAATTTGTAGATTGCTTTTGGCAGTATGGTCATTTTCACAATATTGATTGTAACCATCCATGAGAATGGGCTGTTTCCATTTGTTTATGTTATCTATGATTTCTTTCAGCAGTGTTTTGTAGTTTTCCTTGTAGAGGTCTTTCCACTCCTTGGTTAGGTGTATTTCTAAGTATCATTATTATTATTTGCAGCTATTATAAAAGGGTTGACACAGTTTTTAATTTCAGTTATTGTACCCTTTAGTTCCAGTGAGCTTTCTGTAGAGTTGAGAGTTATCAAAGGGTATGATGTTCAAAACTGAGAGTTTTAATTTGGCAGCTTTTCCTTTTGGCTAGAACTTTGGGAGAAGTCTGTGGCTGAGACAGTCAAGGAACTGAGATGTTAGGGCATCAATAGTGCTCAGAAAGGTGAGAAAGTCTATGAATCTAAAGATAAACCGGATACCACTTTATACCAAAGGAAGAACTTTGGAGCAGGGAGAAAATAGGACATGTACCAATCAATGCAGAAAATAGTCCAGGTGATGATGGATACCTGGAAAAAAGAGTGGGACTATCGGAAGAACAGAAATAAACACGAATGAAACATGGTAGAAGTTTTGAAGGTTCCTTGGAGAGTATGAATATAGTTCTAGAACAATGGATTGCACATTTAGCTGCTTTCAGCTCAAAATGATTTGCACAAACCATATGCAGTTCTCCCAAAGGTCTCTGACATAGGCGTGGATAGGCTGATGATAAACTCTACCTCAATAGCAATATCTACTCTGCCCAAATATTTTTTGCAAAATTCATGTCATATTTCTATCTAGCTTTGGTATTCACCAACTATACCTAAATCAACTCAACATAATAACTTGTGTAAATGTATAGATGGAAATTATTTTTCAATTTACAGAAGAAATTAATCTTAGAACTTTTTTTTATCAATCAGCATGCATCTGAGTTTGATCATGAACAAAGCAGAAGCATGTACTTTTTGCAATGGGATTATTACACTCAAATGTGGTTTACAAATGTAGTCTGGAGAAATTTCAACACTCTCCAGATTTTGGATCAAATGAAGTAATATTGAAGAGGAACATGGATGTTAGAACTTGAACTCAGCATGTCCAGCACAGCTCCTTAGGAAATTATCCCAGCCTCCTTCATGCTTGTAAGCTAAACAAGCAAACTGTGGCATCATTTTTAGAGCAAAATCCATTACACAAAGGTAACACAATAAGATGATAATCTCATACACTGATATGGTTTGACTGTGTCCCTGTGTCGCCACCCAAATCTCATCTTGAATTGTAACTCCCATAATCCCCACTTGTCGTGCGAAGGATCTGGTGGGAGGCAACTGAATCATGGGGGCAGGTTTTTCCTGTGTTGTCCTCATGATAGTGAATAAGTTTCAGGAGATCTGATGGTTTTACAAAGGGGAGTTCCCCTGCACAAGCCCTCTTAAAGGAAAACACCCAGACTTTGTCTCCAAAAACGATATAATGAATCTGCCCAAATAGTAGCAATGGAAATACACTTATTGTGCCCTACCACACACCTGTGATCCCTGAACTATTCCCTGCATGGCCCTGTGCAGCCATAGTACTTTGTACTGGTTTATGTATTTCCTTTGTGGACATTAAGATTTTTCATATATGAGTTCTGTTTTTCTCATTACAGTGAAGATTTACAAAAAATATGCTCTTTACTTCTTTCCTTTTCTTCTGTGCCTCTGCCTTTCTTTCTGCCTCTCTCTCTCCAGCTCTCTTTTTAACTTTCTCTTTATTTAGTCTCTGAAGGAGTTATCTTAATTTATATGTCTCTTTATATGTCTCCTCATTTATTCCCCCATTCCCACCCTCACCCGTAACTTCCAGGCTCTCTCATAGTCTTGGAACTTTCTTGGGTAAAGGGAAAAACATTCCATGCAGAAGGAATAGTAAGAATTGGTCTTGGAAGGTATGTAGTTAACTTCATTGTACTTCTTTTTTGATGCATCTCTGTGAGACACAGAAAGCTGTGAGAAGATTATGGTTTACCTTGAAAGTTATGCCGTTTACCTGGGGCAAGAAAACAATGTCAGGTCTTGAGACTGGAGAGCCAGGGACCAAATTTGATCTCAAGAGCTTAGACAAAGAGGTAGGAGAAGAAGGGCTCTTTCCAGATGTAGTCTTTAGCCAAGATTAGAAACCCCTCAGACTCATCTATCTGCCATCACATCATAGAAATGCCTGGAGCAATGTTTGTATTTAAGACCTAAAGTAGCTAGTAACTTTGGAAGTCCAATTCTGGGAAAGCTTGAAATGACTTTAAATGAGCAAAATAATTGAAGATAAAGACTTTCACCTTAAACCCAGGACTACTGATATGGTCAGTGGTCCTAGATCACCCACATTTTCTTCTTTAGTGAGTGTATGTCACCCCACGCTGCCAAGCGACTGGACTTTAGTGTCACATCACTGCAGGGCTTCCGTCCACGGGCTGGCATGGCACCTGATGGCCTAAAGTCAGTGTTTCAGCAGCATAAAGGCAGCAACTACCAAAAAATAAGAGGACTATTAGCTGACTGAGAAGGTTTCCTGGATTTCTGTCAGTAAAAGATGGTATCAAATTAGGCCTAGATCCTAAGATGGTGCGGACACTGCTGGAGTTCTTAGAAAAATTCCAAGAAGGAGAATATCAAGGAGGGAAGAATGATATTATTTGTGATAGACAGAATGGGACTCCATGACATTTAATGTGAATATTAAAAGTAAGGAGCTGCTGTTCTATGCCTTGAGGTGAAGCAATTGTTGCCCTTAGCCAACCCAGAGGTCACATGCAGACAGTTTCAGCACACACCAAAGTGCCTGCAGCTCTTTCTGTCTCTCCCCTCAATCCCCTTTATCTTTCTCTCTTTCTTTCTCTCTCTCACTCTATCTCTAGAAGGAGCCATAGGAGCATGTTCAGCCAGTGAACAGCAGCCCAGAAAAATTGGGATTTAACAACCCAGAAGCAACCCTCAGCCCTTTGGGAATTGGTGGATAAATGCTTCATCTTTCTTGCTTCTCAAGAAGACAGTTCGTAGGTGTGGTCCACAGTATCTCAAAAGATCCCAGGAAGACTGAGCCTCAGATGCCCATGGCAGTAACCTACTCATTTGCCATATCCTTTCTTCCCTACCCTATCTTGCTTCCTCACTCTCTCATGGTACTGCCTATGACTTTTTTCCCCTCAAACAAAGAGAGACAGAGATGGGACAAAAAAAAAATAACTTGTACCCAAATCCTTGCCTCAGGGTTTGCTTTGGGGGAAACAAAACTGAAACAAGCCTACACTGTGAAGAGGGATGCTTCTATTTAATCTATTTGCACATCTGGCATCCTACTAGACTCAACTCTATCAGGTCTTGAAATATTTATTGAGCAAATGAATGAGCTACCCGAAAATGTCTGTGTAAGCTACCACATTTTCTATCCTATAAGTAATGTGTTCAGTTTATTGGGTAAAAGCAAACTGGTGACAACTATTATAGCCAATGAATGGCATCTACTTCTAAAAAAAAGTCCATTTTTGCTTTTAGCATAGTGAGAAGCAAAGATGAACTCACTATGTTAAGTGCAAAATGGGCGTCTTTTGCTAGGCCTACCAAGAATTCACTGAAGAATTATCCACCACACACTCAAGGACACACACACTCACGCACATGCACATACATGCAACCATACTTGCATACCCATATATACATGCACACACATGCACAAGACTTCTCCCAGCAAGGCAACACCAATACTACGCATGCCAGGAAGGGAAACAACACAGCTCAGGCAAAATGCCTTTTCATTCCACACAAAAACATTTGACAGAGTCCATCCAGACTGGTGAAACAAACTTAGAGAACCAACTAGCTGTTGTCAGAATGGAAAAATATCTGATAACCTGTATTGAAAGACAATAACTCCAAACATAATTTCTGTCCCTTACTTCTTCTGCTAACTTTTGTATCTTTCTTTTTCTACCACTATCCCAAATTAACTACATCTCTAATAGGTCAAAGTGTGGTCCAACATCAGTATGTTTTTCAGTCTTATTTTTTGTATAATCATTTTTGAGGTAAAGAGGCCATAATGTACCCTCAGGGTGGGAGGTGGGTCTCTTGGATGAAGTAGATATTCCAATGCAGTCATACTGAGATGAGGCAGCTTCTAGAGTAGGAACAGAGGCCTGAGAGACAGGCTATAAACCCAAAGGGGAAGAAACTCCTTTTATTTTCTGTGTCAGATACAGATGGAACTTCAAATAATTAAAGCATTAAAATGTTCAATAAATTCCTGGTGGTTAGGGGTGAAAAAAAAAAAACCCTTAGACAAATTAAATTTAACAGAGTTTAACTGAGCAAGAACGATTTGTGAGTTGAACAGCCTCCCGAAACAAGTTCGGAGAGACCAGCCCTGCTGCGTGGTCGAAGAAGATTTATGCACAGGAAAAGGAAAGCAATGTTCAGAAAATGGAAGTGAAGTACAGAAACAGCCAGATTAGCCAAATCAGACTTTGCCTTACTTCAACATGATTTGAACAGTTGGCCACTTGTGATTGGCCAAAACTCAGTGATTGGCACAAGAGTAGATTACAGTCTGTTTACATATCCAGTTAGGTTACAGTTCACTATGTATGAAGAAACCTTTACAATGTGTAAAGAGGCAGTTTTAGGCTAAAGTTAATTTAGCCTAAAGGGAGGAGTAGTGGCAAATGGGTAGGAATTGTTAGCTGGCTGTTGGCACAGGGAGGCAGGCCGGGGGTGCCAGGGCTCTGTACAGTGACCCTGTGCAACCACTTTATGAATCCGTGGTCAGTTATTTTGTGCTCTACTTCTTCAAGATGACCTAAGCTTCAGTAAAGTTGTGTTCAAACTTTGCAGTGCAGTCTTAGCTAGCAGAGGTTAAGAGAGAGGATTAATGTAGGGGAGGCCATGCCCTGCTCTCTAAGTCCTGAGTGGTGTTAACAGAAGCAAACAGCAGGAGAACAGAAGACAGTGTGTTTAAATAATGGAGAAAACAGAGCAAAAAGACCCAGGGAACCAGTTCCTACAGAAAACAGCACTTCAGGACAGTTTTTAGAAACGACAAGAATCACTTTTTGGTTGTTAGTCCGCAGGTCCTTTTAATGTGGTCGTGGCTGACCATTCACGGAAGTCTTCAGTTATGTACAGCGGGAATCTATTTGTTCTGTGTGATGATGGCACCAGATTCCCCGAGACACTCCTTTGGTAGCAGGCTAGCCAGAAGTGACCTCTCCTTCTCTTGAGAGTGCATTGCAAATATTGCCCAGACATTTCTCATCTCCCAACTATTTGGCAGGAAAGAATAAATATCATTTATTGATTACAGTTCTAGTTTATTGCAATGACCAAGGTTAATGATTTGTTCATTTTAACTAGACTGATGTGTTTACATTAATCATTAGGGTCCAGGGGCAAATTTTATGGAATTTGAATTTTCAAACACCTTGAATTTCTCCTCGATTTTGACATTTCAAAATGTAATTCATCAATCTCTGAATGCTTTTCTGCCACTTGGACATCAGCCTGTTGGACTTTGCTTTTTAATGTAAATCCATTAGGGTTAATCCATGGATGTTAAATTCTAGCTCTCCTCCACATCGATTTCTAGGGCCCCCTTCTCTACACCAACCAAAACAAAACCTACATGTAGAATACTGACATGCATTAAAAATTGAATATTGAATAAGACTATGTTTCTGAAATTTTTATATTAGGGCAATTTCTGAAGAAGCCCTTATACACTGATAATCCAAATATCTTGACCTTCAAGAAACATGAGAGACAACCCTGTAGCCGGCCTTTGGCCTAATTCAGTTGAGTCCCAGAGCTGACATTATTTATGGTAACATAAGCAGTTGGTTGGAAGAATGCCCAGGGACCTTGGCATCATAGGTACTTAAATAAATCAAATGATCCAGAAAACCAGGATTATGTGAGACCTCCACTTGAACTGCCAGCTACTCCATACCCATTGGCAAATCCAAAGGGCAGGGAGGACCCTCATCTATTACAAGGGAGAGCAGGGCCAGGGAGAATGAGGGAGCCCAGCCAGGCATGCCCAGTGTTTAACGACATGGAGACCTTGTAATATCATGGTAGGGGGCAGAAAGAGAGCATGCCCTCTGGAAATAAGAAATGGTGATGAGAGCATTTCCAGTGCAAACTTGGCTTTGAGAATCCAGGCTGTTCCTCAGGACCTTGTCCTGAAGCTCCACTAAAGCATACTTGCATTTTTAATCAGGTTTTGGCTTTTATTATTTCTATCATTTTACTAAATACCTTTACCCCTGTGGCTTGATTTTTTTTAAAATGTGGTTATCTTGCAGTCTCAAATGTTTCTCAGAAATTTGCCCCTAGGATACATAAATTCTACTTGAATATTAAAGAAATACAACCTTACCATCAAAAAATTCAGGATAAAGACCAAAAGATCTAATTGAATATTGACCACATAAAAGCTATCTTGTTTATTCCTTACTTTCATATTCTTTCTTAAAGCAAATTTAAGCAATCTAGCCAGTTTTTCATTAGACAGATCTTCCAGCAAGATCAGCAGGAAATTAGAAATGCTGCATTAGGATATTTAGATCATAAGTCTCCAAAACTGGAACCACATCTGTCTGCTGGTTCAATGAAGGCTTGGAAAAACCAATTAATATTACATCAGCATAACAGAAACCCCAGCAAATATGCAGTGAGTTACGACTCGAATGCATCCAAGACGGACTGCACTGCCTCAAGAGTTAATTAGTCACTGTACATATAAATAATCTCACATGTTCTAATTCTCTATCCCAGGCAGGGTAACCCCGGACTTGCAGCCTCTTGCTCCATTTCATGACTAGGTGTTGATTTTACCCTTGTATAAAGATAGGGCCACAGGCCAGAGCAATGGAACAAAGAGCATTCCCCACCAGTACTTATCTTCAAAGTTTCAAGTCACTGAAAATCTGATAGCTGGCAAGTCACGGTCTTATTACTTGAAATTCAAATGCTGATAGAATAAATTTGAAGATAGGAAAGGTTTGAGTATGGAAATGAAAAGAGAGATCAAGAGAGAAAGGTGTTTCCACATTGCCACATTTAGCTTTAAAAAGTCCCTCAAGGGTGTGTCCCCACATATTATTTGGGGTGCTGGCCAATCACAATACCTAACCTGCCCACAGCCACTTTTAAAGGAAATTGCCCACCTAGCTGCTGTAGGCAACACCAGGGACCCATACCCCCTCGACTGTAAGCCATGCTATTATCCCTGCTATTGGACCACAGTTTCCTGGAGCAGAGGCAGCCAGCTTCTAGGCTGGACAGGGTCCTCTGTGGGAGCCTAGAGTGGAAATGACTTCCAAAACAAGAAAGTGCAGAGCAAATCAAATTATGCAGTAGGAACAAATGCAGAAAGAGTGTAAGACAAAAAAGTGACAAGTGCCAAAAAAGCCAGAGTCATGAGGGATTTGAACATCTGAATAAGCAGAAGCTACATCACAGAAAGAGGGTCAGGGAGCCAGTTCCTGGGAGGAGGGATAAAATGAGAAGACACCAAAAGGAAGTATAATTGGAAAGTCACATTAAAGATACTGCAGTAGAGAGAAGATCCAAGCTCTTCTGCTTTATAAGGGTCTTGAATCCCAGTGGGCCTTTAGTTCTAGTCTCAGAGAGAACTGGCTAAACCACATTCTGTTCTGCCCAGGAGGCCTGGTTTCTACATTGCCTTGTAGCTGAGAGACTCGCTTTCTTTTTTCCCCACATATAAAAACTAAGACTCAGATAAGCTGGGCTAATGCTTTTCTGGTGGGCATATTAAAGTCTCCTTATATAACAAGCATCAAGGACAGTGTAGGAACACTCCAGATGAATTTACTTTTAACTGTCAAGTGCAATAGAACTGTTACCCATCAACATCTTGAGAAGCAGGCAAAAGAAGGATAATTAAACCCAGCCTTTCAAATAAGCATCGTTGCAAAGGTTACAAGACACTGCAGAGTTGCCAAACTTGGTGAAATCAATTTCCATTTTGTTGCAGTATGTGTCATGCAGAGATTGCTGAAACCAACAAAATGAAAAGCATTAATAATTGGTATTAATAGCTTGTACAAATTAATGTGCTTATTTGCCTAAAAAAATTAGCCAAACAATTCATTAAATGGAAGCCTTGCACATTATATAGTATGAAGCATAGACTTCCTATTGCTTTTGAAAATGAGGCATTTGAAGATGAGGAAATCTAAGCAGTTGATGAAAACTAAATGGAAATCTCATTGTCAAGAAAATGAAGTCAATTTAATGGAGTGTGGAAGGGGCATCTTAGTGACATCAAAACCACAGAATATATAAAAGGTAGTGAATAAAATATAACCAATTTAAAATGAAATGGAAATAATTTAAGTTTGTAGTTGTTTTGCAGCACTTGCTGACTACCAGATACTTAAAATAGTCATTACTTGATCCTCCTGCAATGCCTAGGAGGGAGATGGAGAATAAATAATAAGTACAAATGGGAAATCAAATGCTGATGAGTTAAGTACTTTGTGAAAAAATATTTCATGGATTCAATTCAAACAGATATTTATTTTGGGGCAAAGCCATGGTTTGCCTGTTGGCTTAGTACAGAAACCAGTGCTGGGCATGGTGGGAGGTGGTAGGAAGAGGGAGCTAAAGACCCTCTGTGCCCAGTTTTTTGTTTATAGTCATATCTCATCATATGCCCAAGCCATGTTCACTTCTTCAAGGACTGAGTTACAGGATTTGATGACTGTTAGACTCTAGGCTTCTTTCTCTGTTCTTCCTGTTCTTCTGCCTGTTCATCTTTATTAAGGATTCCACAGAGTTTGGTTTCTAACTGCTAACTACAAAGGATGAATATGTCAAAAGTTGGCTAAAATTACAGAGTCTTAGAAATGTATCATAAAAAGGCAGAACTTCAGTTACATGGGGCAAAACTGGGAGCGGGAAGAACCTGCCTCTCAAATGGGATAATACATGAGATTGCAAAACCATTTCCTATTCACATCTTATAAATTACTCACCTTCACACCTATTGACCTACACAACACCATCCACCCTTCCTCCATTCAAGAAAAACACAAGTAGTAAGCTACTCTCATTCAACTACTTGATCCCAAACACCTACTCTGAACCAAGCATCTAGCACGTTAGGGCATCAGTCATTCAAACCCTAGCTACTTATAAACTCTCAGAACAGAGCTGCAAGAGCCAAAGCTTGCTCCCTAAGGGTAAACTACTGGGCCAGGCTTGACCCCTAGATTTAAGGCACTGCTGAACCCTAGCAGAGATCTCAAGAGAGCAGGCATTGCCAAGCCCCTCCGTCCGTGTGGTTTTCTTTCTCATCTGTGCAAATCTCCGATTACACTTCCCCTCAAGGCACTGCGGGCTTCGCTGAGTAAAAGAATTAAATGCTTATTAGGATTCTGCACGTGCGCCCTGGGAACTGCATCCCACATACCACAGTGCTGTCCTTGCATCGTTAGCACAAACACTTACCCACATCTGACAAGGGACATCAAACCACTTCAGGTAATTGCATTTCCAGAGCAGCTGATAATGAAACCGGGAAGATTAGCCTTATCCCTTGCCTCACTCAAAAAGTAGATAAAATCTAGCATTTTTGCTTTTTTTTTCCTTCAATAATCCGTCAAAGTTTTGCCTTAAACTATTTGACTGTTTTCTCTCTAATCATGAGCTTTAAGTTTTTAACCATGTTCATTTGTTTGCAATATCTGCTTCATTATCTTATTTAATCATGGATTATCTTTCCACTTAGTTAAACTCACTTTTCATTTTGAAACTTTACATTAAAAAGAAAAATACGGAAGTCATGTCGAATTATTCCACTAATCTATTCTATCAGTCAAATAATAGTTCCTTGCCCTTACACACTTAAAAATGAGACATTATTACAATTATAATAAAAAATCTTTCCCTTGTCTTTCTTCAATTCCTGAATTCTTAAAGCCAGGAAAGTAGAAAAGTGCCAGATCCTAAATACTGCTGAAAAAAACATCCTCCAAAATCAATGTTTGACATTCAATTTAGGATTAATTGTAAGAAAAACTACCACCAAAACAAATGCGGGTGTACTCGTCTGTTTTCACACTGCTAAAAAGAAATATCCGAGACTGGGTAATTTATAAAGGAAAGAAGTTTAGCTGGCTCACAGTTTGGCATGCCTGGGGAGGCCTCAGAAAACTTACAATCGTGGTGGAAGGGGAAGCAGGCATCTTCTTCTCAAGACAGCAGGAGAGCAAAGAGCAGGGGAAACTGCCGCTTTTAAAGCTATCAGATCTCGTGAGAACTCACTCGGTATCATGAGAACAGCGAAAACCACCCTCACAATCCAGTCACCTCCCTCCCTCGACACCTGGGGATTACAGGTCCCTCCCCCCACAAGTGGGGATTACAATTCGAGACGAGATTTGGGTGGGGACACAGAGCCAAACCAAATCATATCAGTGAGTTTACCTATGTTAGTTAAAATACTGCATTATTCCTTATTTTACATTTCCACTTAATTATATATTCATTTCCTTTGTTGGATAAGATATAAAAGGACTTTCCTTGAGGATCTGTCCAGATCTCTGACAAAAAGGCATTCTCTCAGTCCATGAATGAATTAATTTTGGTTTAAATTTATTAGTTACAATGAGGATAAATCTTAATATTCAGGACTCATCTCTGACTCAAGATTGATTGCATAGTAAATCTAGTAATATACAGAAATAACAAATGACTGACAACTTCAGAGAATTCTTCAGAAGACATACTCAAAGAGAAGAAACAAGAACATACCATCTTCAGGAACCATTGACTTCTTGATTGACTTACAGTTGAGCCCTACGGAGTGGTGGGCATGAGTTGGATTAATATCCATTCTAGACACTGAACAGTGAACAAACATAAGGACAAAACCAAAGAAAAAGTATTTGAAGCTTCCCCTTTTTAAGGCAGTTTTTACATTTTCTGCTTCTGCTCACCTGAGGATGATGGCAACAGGTCTGTACAGGTAGGAGCCTATGATCTTGGAGAAGTGAGTGTTTCTGAATGTTTAAGGTTTATTCATTCAGCATGCATTTATTAAGTACCTAGGATATACCATGTGTTTTAGGAGTCAATGTCTTACCCACCCCCATGTTTTGCAGGTTTCCCCTCATACCTCTCTACATTTGTAAGGTTGTGTACACAAAAGTGTATTCTGTGGAAACCAGATGTTTGGTGAAGCAATGTTCCTCTCATGGAATAGTTTGGGAAGTGCTGCATGCTCTTGCAGATTTACAATGTACATTAATCACAAGAGAGCACAATGGGAATTACAGTAGTCACGGGAGCTTCTCTGTCTGTGTCTGCTTCTTGCTAGCTGTGTGCTTCAGGCAAGTCCATGCAGCTCTCAAAGACAAAGGCCCCCTCTCTTATCTCTGACATGATAGCATTGCCTCAGCCATCTTAACAATGGCCTCCACACAGCCTCACATTGTGGGAATCTGTAGCAGACAGTTCTGGCTGCTTATCTAGATGCATTTCTTTCTGCCTCCTTTCTCGTGCCTGCTTTGTTCAGATATCTAGCCTCCACCGTGCACCACACATGCCTCAGGGACACTGAGCTTCCTTTGGCTGAAGTAAGCCAAGGGTGACCACAGCTTTCTGGCTTGTGATTTGCTGGAAAGCTGGGTAAAGGCCTTTAGACCTTTTCTTGGAGAGCTTCCAGAAGCATCCCCCTGCCTGTTTCCCTGGACACTGGGTAGGCAGTATGGCCCTGCTATAGCCATCTAGTTACCAAAGGATATGAGGCAAGGGAGAACCAATAGAACAGCACAGGATGGGGCTGGAACCACTGGACTAAGTCCACCTTGAAGCCCTCTCTCTCTGAACCTCCAGTAATGTAAGCCAAGAAATTCATTTATGCCAATTTGGGACTCTGTTATTTGTAGTTGAAGTTATCTGATGGCTACAGCCCTCTAAAAGAGATGCCCTCCCTGACTGAGGATCCTCACAAATCTAATCAGAGTTTATCTTCAAGACTTGCTTGCCCTGTGTTGCCTGTCCTCTTTTGGAAAATATTTGCATTGGAACTGATTTTGAGTCTGCACTTAGGCCCTGTGGATGGGCTCACCTTGCCCATTGCTTTGCATGGCTTCTTACTGCCGCACTCAGCTATGATGCCCAGGGATTCAAGTCAGTGCTCAGAGCCCTTGACATCCTGCTTGCCTGGAAGGGGACCCAGAATCCCTTCCTGGAGCTCCCATTTGTCCTAGGCAATTCAGGGCCATTCTCAACGTGGCAGCTCTGCCAATCCACAATGTCCTCCACGTGCTCCCAGACCCTTAGCTGGAACCAATTTTCCTGAACTAAAAAAGTCCTTGTGTGGTGGCTTAGGAGACTGTGAGCTCTCAACACAGAGCTCTGCAGCCTTATGTTGAGGGCCTGGGTTATTTTTTTCTAAAAAATGATGCCCTAAGACTACCAGGGTGAGAATCATCAATATCAGAATCAGATGCTTGTTAAAAATGAAGATTCTCAGACCTGCTAAATAGTACTTCCGGCATTGAGCTGCAGAAGCCCTATTTTTCACAGCCCCAACCAGAATGATCTCAACTCTGGATCACCCTAAAGACAGCTCAGCTTCCAGTCTCAGCATCTGATGAAATAGAAGCCAAGGCAAGGAGTGAGGGGGGCTGGGCAGGAGACAGAATTGTGAAGATGAGAGGGGAGTGGGAAGAGTAACAGAAAGATGCTGCACTGTTTCAGATACACAGTAGAGAAACTGTGACTAAAGGTGGACTCAAATCACAACTGTTTTTCAGTTTCTTGGACTTTCACCTTTGCCCATTTGTTAGCCTTTGTCTTCTGGCATGATCTGCACCCAGACACAATCAGTATCACCATGTAACCCTCTACAAATCCTATAGTTGACAACACATAATGATGCAATAAAATAAAATAGAATAAAATGTCCAAGATCCAAAGGTCATAGCAAACTTTGTAACTGGTGAGCTACATATCACAAGTTTCACCTAGGGATGATTTCACGAATGTAAAACATAGTTTCCCGATTTCATGCCACACCTCATCTCCCATGTCCATGCGTGTCCTCATTGTTCATTTCATGCTTTGCATGGCTTCATAAGTTCCTTTCCAGTGAGAAAGAGAAACCAACCCACCTTCATTTTCTTCCTTTTTCTTATGAAATATATTTTACCCAGTGATTGACATGACAGAATGCAGATTGTATAGAAAGTAATGCCGATAATTTCTGACTGCTTTCACTCAGAATTGAATTTAGGGAGCATTTACACGTGGGTGGGGAAAGGTGTTAGGTAACTTTTTTTTTCAAGGAATGATTGATGGATGGAATTCAAAGTTTATTCTAGAATGTAGATCTATTCAAAGTGGACCTTTGACAGGCCATTCCCTCAGATCTTGCTCATATTCATAGCTAATCCCCTTGTCTCTTTTATACTAACAAATCTACATGTTCCCCGTCTTTCCTCACTCCACTACTGTGATTCTCATTGGACATTTTGACACCAAAGTATTTCTCATTTTCTTACTCACTAGGGGCAAATTAAATTAATCTGAGGCCTGGGATGCTTGGCCATCCCAGGTCCCTATGCAATGGACTTTAAATATCTATGCAGTGGACTCTAATGATTGAATTTATTTTTTGCATTCTAGTTTTTAAATTACATTGAAGATACCACAGAGTTAACTTAAAGTACATAGGGCTTTCAGATTAGAACTCAAAGGTCAGGTTTTGGAGTCTGGGCCTTCTGATCACCAACATCATTTCCATCTTTTATTATTTCCTTTGGTGGCACCCAAAGTGGCTGTGCTTCAGAATCATTTGAGGAATTTTTTTTAAACTACACATTTTTTGACTCAACGCAGAGAATCTAACTTTGAAGTTGGGGCCCAGGTTCATTTTTTTCTTTCTTTTTTTTTTTTTTTTTACAATATCCCCCAAGCAATCATGCAGATACCAGGGACACATTTACTGAAGACTTTTAGGGAGCACTTCTATCTGGTCCAGGGGTTCTTAAACTTTCACATGCATCAGAAGCACCTGGAGACCTTGTTAAATCACCGGTTGAACCTGCAGAGTTTCTGATTTAATAGGTCTGAGATGGAGTCTGAGATTTGCATTTCTAACAAGTTTCCAGGTGACGCTGTGGGGCCACACTTTTAGAGCTATGCCTGTAACCGTGGTTGCTTGTGTATGTGTTTATTACTTATTAGCATACCTATTATGTGGCCAAGGAGCAGGCTTCAGAAGAAGGAATGATCCTCTCACATCAGAGGTAACACCTGGATAAGCATTATCATCACCCGAGAGCTTTTGTTTGTTTAAATTTAACTTTCAGCTATTGGGGTAGGCTTGAGCTTCACCTCAGAGCTACTGAATCAACATCTCCAGAATGTCCTGGGAACTTGTTTTGTTTTGGAGTTACTCAGAAGATTCAGATTTATTACAAGGATTTGAAACCATTTCCTTAGACAAGCCCATCTTGTGAGTTCATGAATAACTTACACAAAAAATTATTTGATTTTATCTGAAATTCAAATTTGGTGGGGAATCCCATATTTTTATTCATAATCCCCTGTTCACTCAGCTGCCTTTACCAGAAGTTTGTTTCCTTTGCACTCCCTCCTTTGCTCAACATACCCCGATTTTAAATGCTTAAGGGAATGGAGGTGAGACGTGAAATCCATATGAACTTGATGTTCAGGGTGAAGAAGAGAAAATTAAGATATTTCCTCAGGAAAGAAAAAAACACACACAAAAGAAACTTCATTAATCTATACAGCAGAAACAAAATCAGAGAAAAAAAAGTGCTGTCTGCTAATGGTTTTTTACCAGACAATTTGTCAATTACACAGTCAAAAGAAACCCTGGGGAATAAAAAGATGCCAAAGATGCCATTAAAATTTCCAAGTGAAGCCATATATAATTATTTTCAAACAAGTATAAGCTATGAAAATGCAAATACTTCAAGATGCTGAGTGAAAGATAGGATAAATCTACATTAGGCTTCAAAACTGATGCTACCAAGTGAGTCTAAGTTTGGGCCAGAGACAGGGAGATAATGATGTCTGCCCCCTCCCTGTTTGATAGGACGCTAAGGAGCCTTAAGATGAAATGCTCCCAGTGTGTCAAGGATGAGAAGAAACATAAATACAGCTCAGCCCCTGACATCAGTACATAACTACAAGATGGAATCAAATACATGAAACAATCAAAACAGAAGACAAATTCACTGACTCAGAAGACAAAGAAAACAAGGGAAGTGATTTGGCCAACCATTGCTCAGGCTGAGTAACCACCATTAGCAACATGGTGCCTGCAAAGAAAGTGGCTTTCTCCTTAAGCAGTCTTGACATCCCATAGGTTAGGGGTCAGCAAATTTTTCCTGAAAAGGGCAAGATAGTAAAGCTTTTAGACTTTGCAGACTATGCAGTCTCTGCTGCATCTCTGCAACCCTGCCATTATAGCACAAAAGGAGACACACACAATACATAAACAAGTGGCCATGGCTGTGTTTTAATAAAAACTTATTCACAAAAATGGGTGGTGGAATGTATTTGGCCTGTGGGCCATAATTTGCCAACTCATGTCATAGGTGAGCCCATATGGCAAGGATAGCATCATTAATACCTAGAGCCTACAAGGGCACCCAGCATTCTAATGATGGATATTTAATTGGGGGGAAAAACCCATTCCATTAGCTCATCACTATAAATACAAGGGCAGAGAGTTTAAAAGTCATCCCAAAGTGTGACTGAAGGCAGGAAATCAGAATTCTAGAAACAGGAAGAAGATGCTCATTTGAAATTCAGAGATTGCACTGTAAGTGGAAAGAGAAGAGAATGGGACCAAACATTTAGCATGTATTTACAGAAGTTCTCTTGGTAGACATGGCATGCATAGAGAATATGACTGAAGGAGGAAAATGGACCCCCCCTTGCCACTTTCTGTGACTAGAACTTTTGAAGCTACTACTGCTGAGGGTGCATCATATGACAAGGTGTCATCTTCCTTTATCAGGGAGGCTTCCCAGATATTCTCAATTCACTAAGTTTGTATTAACATCCTAAAATGCATCTCTCCCCCAAAAGAAAAAAGCTAAATAGCTTCAGCATCAAATTTTATAGTTTAACACATATCACCAACGGTTCATGGACACAAATGTCTATTTTATGACCCTGGTAACTGTTTCACCAGAGGTCTCCACATCAGTCAAGAAACACACAAGCATGCATTTACATTGTATAATTTAAAAGCTTTATTTCCCCCCATAATTTGCAAATAGATTTCATATTAGTTCCACTGGAAGTTTTCTTCGTACAGTTGCCTTTCTCATTGACTATGCTGTTGGTGGGGAAAACTGCTTTCTCATGAGGGGAAGGGTTAGATTTCATAGAGATGCTCTGAGCTAATCACATAAACAAGAGGGTTTGACCTGGCAGCCTCTGAGGCAGTCAAGGAGGTCAAGAAATCCTTTCAGCTAAAGGCCTAGTCAGGTGGGACTAGTTGCCAGGATCCTCTCTGCAGAACTGCCCAAACGTAGCTCTCTTTGACCAGGAAGCCTGGAAGTCAGACCATCTTCTCAGGCCCTGCCAAATTCCCATCCTCAGTCCTGTGGCCTCATGCGGGAACATTTTATCCAAGCAAACCACTGGCTTTCGCCTTGAGGTCCAATGTGCACTCTTCACCAAGTGCAAGATTGATCTTCACTCCAAAGTTCACCGTTCACACAGTTTTTGGCTTGTGCTTTAGAGGCTGGTCTCTGCCTCTCCTAGGAATGGTGGCATCACAGCAATGGAAGCACAAAGACCCAGGCAAGCACTGGTAGGTAGAGTGTGGGGGCACTGCTGCCAGATGTTCTCTGAGCGTGCATTACGGCAAACACTGCATTAGTGTGATTGGTGGGTAATTCTACATTGCAGATCATTCCTTCACAGCAAGACCTACACTCCTGTTACAAAAAAGGAGAGAGGAAATGACAGTGAATAATAGAAGAGGGAAGGGGCAAAAGAAAGAAAGATAAAACAAAGGCTTCTTGAGCTCTATCTGAAGACAGACAATTGGAGTTGGTTATCCAATTTTGCATCATCTAGGCTCTTGGGTACCCTTCCCCCACCAATGCCAATAGAATGGAAGGGAAAAACCATGCTGAAAGTCTTTTATCCTAACTGTGATTTATCTGCATCAAATCCAAGCATTAGCAAGGCAAAGAGGAAGAGAAACTGCATAAGAGTGCTTGATTGAGTCCACAAATCTTCTAAAGGTTTGTAAGGGAAAACACTCAGACAAAAATGAAAGCTAGGAACCTTTCGGATTAGTCATTGATTTTCTTTCTCAGTGCTACTTGTTAGGGGATAATAATGACTCTCTATTGTCTATGCTAACACCTGATTCTTATCATTACAGCAACAATGGTTTACTAATTATGGTTGCTGAGTGGTGTAAGAAAAAATAAAGGCTTGTCCCTAACTGGTGTTTTCAGGGGATGTTTTCAGGTAATACCAAACCGTGCCAGGTACAATGTCTCAACCTGATAAACCCAGCCATTCATAGAGGCTTCCAGGATGACTAGGTATGATAAAGGCATCAACTCTAGGCATCCATATCAGTGGTTCTCAACCCTGGCTGCACATCAGAATCACCTCGGGGAACTTTTTAAAAAGATCCTGACACCCAGGACCTTACCCTGAGGTTCCATTTCAACTGGTCTGGAGAGCCTGCCGGCCTGCATCCCTCAACAACAAGCAGAGCTTGTAAAAGCTACCCAGGTGATTCTTGTGTAGCTAGAGTTAAAAGCCACTGATATGAGAATCATTTTCTGTACTTATTACAGGGTAAATCAAATTCTAAAACCTCATGAAATGAACATATTTTCAAGTAATTCTTTCTTAAGCATTTCAGAATTCCAGGCATATAAAGGAGTGAAATGCTCATTTAGAATGATAGAATGAGAACGTTAAAGCCATCAATTGATCTAAAAGGTATCTACAGTTCATCATATTAAACTGAGGCTAATCCTTCAGACTCCCTTCCTCATCTAAGCAGAAGCAGTGAATAAGACAAGGGTTCCTTCATTTCTTTGGTCTCCATTTTATGTTTGTACGGAGTCTCTGTTCTTTGGTCTCCATTTTATCTTTGTATGGAGTCTGTTCTTTGGTCTCCATTTTATCTTTGTATGGAGTCTCTGTTCTTTGGTCTCCATTTTACCTTTGTATGGAGTCTGTTCTTTGGTCTCCATTTTATCTTTGTATGGAGTCTTTCCTCAAAATGTAAACATGGTCCACATATTACTATCCTTCCTGCCTCTCCTTTGATCTACGACTTACATTACTAGGATGAAAGTTTAGACAATAACACACACACACGATCCTTACCGTATGTTCAGAATCTCGGCTGTGGTGGCAACCGACAAAATGACATTCACTTCTGGAGGCACACTTTTTGGTGATGGATGTGCTTCTTCCGTGGCTGGTGAAGTGATGAACTGTCAAACAGTACTGTGTATCTAGGCAAGAGGAAACAAAAAACAAAACCAAGAAACAAGGTAATTTCAATATCCATATTACAAAAGAGATCTCTTAACAATTAATGCAGAAAGGACTCAAATTCAGGCCAGTCCTGGGGTTTTTAGGCAAGACATTTCATAGCAGTGAACTCTGAAGTTTCTAGGTGATATTTTTCAAAGGACACCAGCTTCTGAAGAACATATGTGTTTTGAAAATGAACGTAAATGGGCGCTCATCCTGTGGTTTCAGTTAGAGCTGAGGAAAAACTGCAAGCATTTTATCAAAACATGGGTCTGCTCATTTGATATGAAAATATTTATGTCTCTGGCCCTCTCTCTCCCTCTGAAGCACGTTCTCGAAATCTAAAATAAAATGAAAATTGTGATGGTAAAACGCAATGGGTCAGAACAGTTGTTTCATTATACAGTTGTTTCATTACTCATCATTTTTCTCTTGTATACTAATAGGCCATGTGGTGAGCTGGGGTGAAAAGCAGGTGCTTCGAATTATACATCACAATCACCTTTTTCACTCATTTATTAAATTGTAAAACCCGCAATTCATTTTGCACCAACCTAATAATTTCTTTTTTTTTTTTTTTTTTTTTTTTGAGACGGAGTCTTACTCTGTCCCCAGGCTGGAGTGCAGTGGCGTGATCTCGGCTCACTGCAAGCCCTGCCTCCCGGGTTCACACCATTCTCCTTCCTCAACCTCCTGAGTAGCTGGGACTACAGGCACCCGCCACCACGCCTGGCTAATTTTTTTTTTTTGATTTTTAGTAGAGACGGGGTTTGACCATGTTAGCCAGGATGACCTCGATCTCCTGACCTCATGATCCGCCCGCCTCGGCCTCCCAAAGTGCTGGGATTACAGGCGTGAGCCACCGCGCCCGGCTGCACCAACCTAATAATTTCTATTCTGGTTCTAATCCTACCAACATGTTAGACTTTTCTCATCCATGTATTTCCATTTTTTTTCCTCCTCTTTTACTTTCTCTGTTTCCCACCCACCACCTCCTGCTTATCTACAGTACCTCATTTCTACCCAGCTATCTACAGTACCTCATTTCTACCCAGAATTATCCTTAAGGTTTTAACCACTCACATTTTATTACTTAGGGTTCTTTGAAGAAGTTTCATTCAATATCCTAGGACATTATTCTTTGGTTCTGTGTCTCTTTTATACCAGAGGCCAATGAAATGCTTCTTAGTTTACTGATCAGAGACTACAACAGCAATGTCATAGAATGGGAAAAAAATTGGACTAAAGCTGAGAAGACTGGGCTTATGGAACTGCCTTTGTCATAGGTGAGCAAGTCATGGTAGATCTTCTGAGCTCATTTTTTTTTTTTTGGTTTTAGTAAAATGATAGATAATAAGTGTCTTGATGCTTTGATAGGGTTGTGATAAGCTTTACATAATACAAACAGTAGCAAACCCATACTGAGTGTGCACTATCAGCCAGGTACTCCTATAACTTGTGTTCAAGCATTCAATCTTCACCATAAGCCTTAAGGTAAGTCATATTAAGGTAAGCCTCATTTTACTGGTAAACTGAGGACAATTTCTTGCCCATGGTCACAGAGAAAGAAAATGGTGAAAAGTAGGATTCTAACCCAGTAGTTTTCCTAGGGCTTGCACTCTTAACCAGAACATTATTCTACTCCTCAGTATACTTAATATTAAACCACGTGGCAATTGATATGGTTTGAGTCTGTGTCTCACCCAAATCTCATATCAAACTGTGAGCCCCCATGTTGGAGAGGGGAGGTGATTAAATCATGGGGGTGGATCCTTCATGAATGGTTTAGTGCCATCCCCTTAGTGCTGTTCTTGTGATAGTGAGTTCTCATGAGATCTGCTTGTCTAAAACTGTGTAGCACCTCCCCCCTCTCTTTCTTGCTCCTGCAACCACCATGTGAGATGCCTCATTCCCTCTTTGCCTTCTGCCATGATTGTAAGTTTCCTGAGCCCTCCCCAGAAGCCAAGAAGACGCCAGCATCATGCTTCCTGAACAGCCTATGGAACCGTAAGCCAATTAAATCTCTTTTCTTTATAAATGACCCAGTCTCAGGTGTTTCTTTATAGCAATGCAAGAACGGACTAATACAGTGATATAATGTAGAGTGTCCTACAAGAGTAGCTGACTTCCAGATTCAAAAGGAAAGGGAGCCGCTAAAAGTTCTGGAGAAAACATTTCAATTTCCACTCTAAACAAAGAAGAATCGAAAACTGGTGGCTGCATGTGTTCATACAGAACGGGACACATGCTAAGGCAGCCCTAAAAAGTCAGCATAAAAGCCGGGGTAAATAAAACAAGAAATGTCATTCTTGTCATATCCTGTTACACAGAAGACTTCTTTTAACAACACCAACAGACCACAGAAGTGAAGCTGTAAAGTAAAAAGGAAATCTGAGATGACAAAGAACAATAGCCGTAGGCCTATTTGCCCCGAGAAATGGTTGACTATCACTCCCTGAAATGACAAAGTGAAAAGTAAGAAGTTACACCCTCAATTAGAATTCCAGGTGGTTAGTATCTTTGGGACCTGCCTGGCCTATAGTAAGAATGTCCTATCATGCCATGCTGGAATGCAGGGCCATTCCGTATTGAGCCCATTAAGAGTCAGCCTCTCAGGTGGACTTGGCAGAGCAGACTCTCTTCCACCCTTCCCATCTCTGATGTTTTCTTGGTGGTGGAAAGCTGCAGCTTCTCCTTTGGTTCAGCCATGTTTCAACAGAGAAGAAATCCTAAAGCCCAGAAACAGCCATGCATCTTCTTTGCCTGCATGCTAAGATGGCTTTGGTCAACTAATGACAAGTTGGAGCATTATGTACAGACCTAGAAGGAGCAGTGTTTTGGTACAATTCAAAACAATAGCATGAGCCATGAAGATAAGGCCTACCAGGTTGGACATCAGTGCCGCAGTTTACTACTGTTCTAACCCTTGCTGCCCAGCTTTCAAGGCAACTTAAAGCAAATTGTTAAAGGATGATACTCTCTGAAATAAATTAGTAAAGAGAAGCATCAACAAACCTTGAAAACTTTGAAATAACAAAGATAAATTTCTGTTGAAAATGTAGAAATAAATCCCCAAATACATACAATCATGCATGCACATACACTCATAAGCGCACACACAACTTAAGGATGATCCCTTGACAGAAATGTAAAAGAACCTCAAGAAAAACATATTTTGTTAATTAATTATTCTTGAAAATAAATAACAAAAAACACTGTCCACATGGATGCCACGGCCATTTGTGCTAATTTATGGCATACGATTCTCAGGCATAGTAGAGGTCTCCAATGTATTTATTGGATTAGTATTTATTGGCTCCACACATTGGCTGTAACTGGAAGAGGTAAAGCTATGCCACTGCTATAAATAATGTGGTACTGGAATTTCCAAAAGATTCCGGGTAACAGTAGACCAAAACTAGTTATCTCTAATTCTGTAAGAGTTTTTTTTTCTTGGCCTCTTATATCTGAAAAACCTAAAAAACAGTACATCCTAAAATCTGAACAACCCGATCTCCTAAGTAGGGTTTTAACATTTCAATTCATCCATCAGCACATTCTGTCTGCTTTACTTCCAAGTTCATATGCATTCAATCATTCACCTCCCCACCTCCTCTGCTCCTACCAACCTAGTCCAAATTCTCATCTTCTGTCTGAAGATGAGAGTCCTCATTTGGCGTTCCCTCCTACTCTTGTCCCCAACCCTCCATTCTCCACACAGCAGCCAGAGCAATATTTTGGAACACAACTGCTATGTATTCCCTAGCTTAAAACTCCCTACCGCCTTCTCACCACCTTTACAATAAAATCCAAATTATTAGAAAAAAGAAGCTCCTGCATATCCTGGCCCTTGCTTCCCTCTCGGATCCTTCCTCCATCTCCCACTAAGCCTCTGCAGCCAGTCTCCTTCCTGTTCATTGAAGAGGCCAAGCCAACTATCACCCTTGAAAACTCTGCATTTGCGATTCCCTCTTTCCAGTATGTTCTTCCCACAGATCTCCACGTGGCAGCTTGCTATGGTCACTCAGGTCGTAGTTCTAAGGTACAGTTCTCAGAGAAGATTTCCCTGACTATCTAATCAGAGGCTTCCATTCATTCTGTCAGCAAATATTTACTGAGTAAACATGGGCCAGGCACTGGATTAGGCACTGGGATATATCTGTAAACTAAACAAACTAAAAAGATACTTGGAAGTTTGTTAAATGAATGAATGAGTTTCCCAAATATCAATGTATCTCAAGAGTATAGAAATCATCCTTTGTTGAGATGGTAAGTATGACTTTTCTAGAGGTATAATCAAGTATTTCTGAAATTCTGAGAATGACTTAATATTGTGGTCTATGTGTTCTCCCTGGTAAATAACATTTAAGAAATTCTTCCTTAAGGTACTCAACTTCAGTTAGAGTCTTTGACACCAGTTTCCAAGAACTCTCAATATAGTCTGATGTCCGGATAGTCTCAGAAAAAAATACATCTGATTCCTAAAGAACATCATCAAGTCAGGAGAGATTCAAATGAAATGAGATCACAGAAGTCTTCCAAACTCAGCACACTTACTTTGTGGACACCATTTGTCTTCTGCCCATCGATTGCAGTTATAATTATCCCCTGCGTTTTCACAAGTAAAGCACTTGAAGCTATTTGGAAATGGTGTAGCTTTAAAGAAAAAAGCAAAGTGAAACAGTAAGCTACAGAAGACAAAAATTTCGAACATCAAACATGGTACAAAATGAGCAACTTTAACAGATGAAACAAAACTTATAAGCTTTCATCCTTACAATTACTGTTTCTAGAGAGCTAGATTTACTCATCAGGCTTTTGGGGAATTTTCTTTATTCCCTTTTGTTTAAATATGTCTTCTAAGAATTGCCACTATAGAGTGATGAAAGTGGTCCCACAGCTACTTTGAAAGATGCATAGTATTGTTCTATTATCATTTATAATTTGGGAATAAGTAGGGGTTGAGGGGGTAGATGAGGGCAGTAGAGGTATTGGAACACACGTGTCATCCCTGAAAAGAACTGGAGTCAGATTAACCTGAGTTTGAATTCTGTTCTCCCCACAGATTAGTTGTGTGATTTTTTAAAATTCTAAGATATAATAATATTTATATTAATAATGAAGATCCCCATGACTTGCAGAGGTATAATGAGGATTAAATGGGAAGTTGCAAGAAAATACCTTGTAGTCTCTAGCACGTCAAATCATGCTGGTTTCTGTCCATATGCACTTCCAGTACAGCTACATTTAACCTCAAACATGTAATCTCATCTGATATATGTCAATTATCACAACATTAGACCTTGGCCAGGAATATAACATTTAATATGAGGATGATAGTAATTCTTAAGCCCTTATAATTAGGCCAGTTTGTTATGGAAAGAAGAATTTCTGAGTTGCTGGTAGTCTGGACTGAGAGCAACTTGTCTTTATGCCTTTTTTTTTTCTTTTGGCCTTGTATCTTGTAATTTTAGCGGACAAGAAGAAAAAAATAAAATAATTTGACATTTCTGTGTAGACCAGGTATAGGACCCTGTGTAAAACTTTCAATTCTCCCATTTTCCTAAGACAAAGACACTGTTTCATTCTCTTCATTCTATTAGTAACACAGTAACCATCTTAGTAATATAACTAGAAGATGGGGTGAAAACCAGAAAGCAGTGGGCATTTCAGATAAAGGGGAGGATATGTATGGTAGCACAAAACAAGAACAAAATATCAAAAGCTAAAGTTTGGAGGACAAGAAGTTAAATACTGAGAATATATTTCAGTTTTGCCTATGTTCAAAAGTGTATCAGCAGGAAAATAAATAATGACATCCATTTTAACCAATTAAATCAGTACAGTTAAAAAATACTTACAGTCAATGCTGGTAGGTAAATGGTTAAAGTATAAATTGGCACAACCTTTTTGATTTAGTAATTCCAATTCCAGGAAATCTATTCTAAGGTCATTAGCCAATTGAAGAAATAGTGAATTTAAAACGATTTTCAATGAAGAATTATTTAACATTTAGTTTGCTTGTGATTTCTTTTTCTTTCTGATATAAAGTGTGGGGGAATAGTGAAATAAGCTACAGACCAGCCTTATGATTTTTTTAAATGTAGAAGACATTAAACTATCTTCAAAGACATTGGAAAATATTCAAAATATGTATAAAGAGGGAAAAACTGTGTAAACTACATTTGTACGATCTCAGTATATCACATATGTAAATACACATACATAGAAAAAATACTGGAAGGAAATATTCCAAAAGAAAAGCTCCTTTGAATCTTGAGGTTATGAATGAATTTTATTTTCTTCTATATGTTTTCCGTCTCTTTGGAATTTTCTATAATGAACATGAATTACTTTTTTGTCTTTTTTAAAATGATTTTTTTCTCATCATAAAATTGTACTAAGCTTAAAAATTTCAAAATTTGCAGAGAAGTTAGGGTCTATGAAAATGATGTCTGTGCCATGTCTTTCAGCTATCAGTATACAATTATTACCAATTTAGAAATGTATAATGGTAGTTCAAGGTGTGTATGTGTAGTATATGTAAGTATATGTACATGTCTATAGTATACATGTGTATATATGCACACACACACAGAGATGACTGTCCCAAATAATAAAGCACAAAGTAAAGAACAGTAATGATACAGATCTCATTTATGAGTAGTATAAGAAGAGGGGGTTCTCACACCTGACCATGTATCAACCGTATCAGAAGAGCTTCTTAAAAAAGAAAAGCAGAGAAAAAAGATATAAATATATTCTGCATCTCACCCTCTTGACTGTTAAATCTCTGGAGAAGTGATTAGGGATATGCAGTTAAAAATCCTTTCATCATGATTCTGATACTCTTCCAGGCGTGGGAACTACAGGTACCCACATGTATACCAAATAATTTTTTATTTATAAGAATCACTCTCTAATAAAGTATATCAAAGACGTTTTACTTGTCTGAAAAGAAAGGAGGGTTAATGACATATGTATACAAACACATATCTAGACATATGTATGTAAAATGTATTAACATATATATCCTGTATGTGTTACTAATATTTGCCTATCTTTAAACTATTAGTGGAAAAGTTGAGTCTTATGTAACCTTTGCTAATGGTGATTACGCGCGGTAGTAATGAAAATCCAGGTGATATTTCCCTCCAAATTTCAAACATACAAATCTGTTTTCAAAATTGTTAATGGCCATTTGAAAGAATTAATAGATCATTTATGCAGAAACATGCAACAGCCAATTTCCTTCTCCAGGGAAGACAGACAAAGAACAATGAATTTCCTCTACTATGCCATGATTAGGAACAGTGCTCCAAAAGTTTTTTTTAAAACAAGAATGCTTTTAAAACTTCAGCAGGAAGCCAGACCATTTTAAGGAAATGGAGAAAATTTCACTTACCATATGCTTACCCATAGAAGTAATGGAGACTTTCTGTTTTATTCTAGGGATAAAACAAATGTTCTGGGAAAGACGAAGTTACAATAAATGGAAAAGGGGGCTTCATATTAACACTCTGGCCCCACAGCCATGAACTAGGATGGCAACCACCACTACTTACGGTCGAGAGGAGGCCTCACATTATAGAAGTTGATGTTCTTGGCAAATGCCCAGCTTTCTGAGAAGATAACGATCTGGACAACAGCTATAGCGAGAGCGTGACAGAGGAGCAGCATGCTGACCTTGTGTGCTGGGCGGTCCGAACTCTTATATCTATGGTGAAAAGACACACTGGTTCAGTTTCTTTATATTTTACATCAGTGGGTTTGTGTTTTGCTTCTGTTTGGAAAGCTCCATTATCCAAATATATCCAACCATCTACCTGTTGTGTAGGGCCAGGACCTGCGAGTAAATTGCATTGTTTTTGATCAAATGAAAGGTAAGTAATGACCTCCTTCTACTGGTCAGGCCTCTGCACTAGCCAGGTGGGCTTTAGCAGAACACTCGATGGCCTTTTGAGTTCAGGAAGGACAAGCAGGCAGAGCTGGCCTGGCTGCACCCCATTCCCTCAGTGACTGCGGCTAGCTGGTTTCCTCTGTGCTGAATCACTGGATTTCTCAAATCAACCGTGGTTCTGAGGCATGTTGAGCCAAAGTCACTGGACCACCTATCTGTCAGTTCCATTCCTTGAGTCAACATTTGCATTTGATAAATTTTGCAACTCTTTCAAAACCTAGAAGAAACAATAAAACTGGGAGCAGTGAGAAGGACAGCAGGGGAAAGGACAAGGAGTCTGAGAAATAAAATCTCTGCCAGATCCTAGAGCACACCGACATTGAGAAGAGAGACAAGAGTCGTTGTGAACTGCCAGCCCCTCCTGTTTCTGTCACCCTGGGCACAAGAAGCTGCCAGGAGGCTCTAGAGGAAACAGAATAAAAGTTGTCTGAAAAGCTGACAACCATATAATGTTAGTCCTGGTCCACAAATACTACTCACCGCATTTATAGACTTCAAGTAGGCAGGGGAAAATCCCAACAAAATGACAGACAGGCACATAGCACTGAGTAAAAGATATGACATCTTAAGCCCCCTGGCTCTACTTCCCCAGAGGCAGAACTGGTAGCAAGAAAATTTATAATGTCACCACTGACAGGTTTCCTTTGACAAGGAGGAGGTGTGGGCAGCAGAAAAAGTATGTAACCGGGAACCCGAAGACTTTGGTTCAGGTGCTGGCTCTGCTATTTATTAGCTGCCTGACCTTGGGCAAGCTCTTGAAACTCTATTAACCTCAATTTCCTCATCTGTAATGTGGCTTAATAATACCTACACTGCCCACATATTTAGGTAAATGTGAGCGTCAAATGTGGGTTCAGAAAGGATCACATAGGATTGTGTACATAAAAGAACTCATCATAAAAGTTCTGTGAAAATACTGGAATACTAGAGTTCAATAATATTGGCTGAACTCCTTCTTGCTGAATCAACTGGTTTCAATGGGTTTAGGGAATATTTCAAAGGAAAAAGGTTTGATCTCTGCATATACAAGCATAATCCTTCACATGCACGTTTTGTTTGAACCCAGAGCAATAATGCATAGATTCTAGGAATTTTCTTCCCTCTCTTATTGTGGGTATACTGATTTTGCATGTGTCACTAATAAGGCCTTCCCATGGGGATGGAACTAAATTATTAGACAATACATAGCCACAACATCCTATCATCCCTATCGATGGTGTTTGCCACTGATAGAACTGAGCTGCTAAGAAAGTACTAAGAGTTATAAAACAACAGCAGAGTTATAAAACAGCAACCACTTTTGTGAGTATGTTTCAAAAAACAATAGCTAAACTTTCTACACTGCATTATAGCTCATGTACATAATCATACCTAGTGATATATACAAATATATATAATTCTTTCCTGGTTCATTTTAGAAACCAAGATTGACCTTTCAGTTATTGGATTTCTAAATTCCATTCTTATGCTCTTTCTGAAGAAATGGACAGTTAGCAAATAATATTATCCCTTACAGTCAAGTGGTTGTACTGATACAGATTCTGCTTCTCCTATTCATTTCTCTGAGTTGGTCTATTCCATAGTCATTATTATACCCTTCTTTATACCAGTGGAGACCCTTTGTGTGGGGGAGACTAATCCCTTTTTCACAGTCTCAGAAGGACTATGTTCCAGTAGCAATATTCAAGTGTTCTTATAATATGGAGAGAAGGCCTAAGATACAGGTTTCAGTGTCACGTTATCTACATTCAAATCTCTTTTTCACTACTAAGCAACTATGGGACCTTAGACAAGTTGCTGAAGGTTTCCAAGTCTTGGCTTCCTCATCTCTAGAACAAGCATAGGATAGTACTTACCTCATAGTTTTGGAGTGAGGACTGAATGACCCAGTGCATAGGGAAGCTAAGCACATAGTTTGCACGCGCTGAGTGCATGTGCTGAGCACATGGTTAAAGCTCTATTTATTGAGCACTTTCTACTCAATAGTAAAGAGCATTGGCTCAAATACCTGTATCCAAAACTGCTATTTGGTGCAAGTTCCTTAACTTCCCTGTACCAAAATTTTTGCATCTATAAAATGGGAGTAATAATACCCATTTCATAGGGTTGTAGGAATTAAATTAATGCCTGTAAAGTACTTAAATGAGTTACGTGTGTGGAATTTTGCTAATTTTTACTAAGTAAGCACTTACTATTATGAACAAATCCCCAGTTTGGTATCACAAGTAAGAAGTTTGGTTTTCCTCATGTAATCTCAGTGTGAGACAAAAGCCCATTCATTCATTCAACATGTTGTTATTGATACCTAATAAATAACAAGTTATTGTTATCGCTGACTCCCCAACAAGGTCTTGACTCTAATGCAAATTGCATTTTAGAGGGAGAAAACAGGCAATACATGCGGGCAAAACATAATTTCAGATAGTCATAAGTTTCATGAAGGAAACACAATAAGGTGAGACGATGGTGAATAGCAGGTGCTACTTTACACAGACAAGGACCCAGTATGTCTCTCTGAGTAGTTGACATTCGAACAGGTAAATTAAATGATGGGAAAGAATCAGCCAAGCAAAGAATCAAGGGAAAAGTAACCAAGGTCCTAAGATGGGAAGAAGCTTGCCTCATGGGGGAACTCAAAAAAAGCAGCCAGTGTGGCTGGAACACGAAGGAGGGGACTGGACAGTCAGGGAGTCGGTGGGACCAGATCACACAGATGCTTACAGGCCATAGCAAGAATTTTGAGTCCAGCAAAATCAAGAAATTTTTGAATTTAGACCATCTAATTGTGAAAAATGCCAAGAATGCTTTTTCTCTGTCAAGTAATTGGTCCCAGATTCCTAGTCTTATCTCTAGTTCCTGAAATAAAGGGATATAAATGATAGTGAACATAGAGGAATATGGAATTCAGATACACTGCAAAGGTCTCTCTAAGAATAAATGATAGACAACTTAAAAACAACTGATTGAAAACAAGCACAAGGATTAGGCTTCTTTCTGGTTTTTCCATCCTTCAAAATAGCACTGTAGGAACCCTAGTGCCATTATCATTGTACAAGTGAGGAAACCGTGGTTTAGCAGCAACATATGTAATGATCCCAGCACACTGCTCAGAACATAGCATCCTCTCAAAAAACTTCCACATAGCACAGCCTAGCCTGCTAAACTTGAAAACTAACGAGAAGTATACCAAAAATTGCTTCCATATAGACAAAATGTATTTTCATTTCCATTTTTAACTAAAACAGCATAGACTTATTCTATCAAAATTCTGCAAAACTGCCAAAGTTTTGCCTGTCAAGTGAGGAAAGTACTAAATAAAAATGTCTTCTATTTCCAGAGCATGTTTTCTAATCTATTACCATCTACCACTTCTTCCTGAGCACCTATATCTATCTATATCTATTCTTCAGTGTGTATGTTTGTGTTAACATGACTTTTATTTTTCACAACTCAAACACATTAGGATAATGAAAAAGTAAATGACTAACTATAGTAGCTGACAGTTGTTTTACATTAGAATCATTTCACAGAGACTCTGAACTAAAAATTATCTGCTGAGACTTTGCTGAGTAGGCTTTCATTGCAGTCTTTGTGGCAGATCAAGGTCACAATAGAGCTTATATTTTGCTCCAGAGGGGGAGAAATCTTTTATATGGATGAGATTAAGCCATTCAGGTTATTTTGTCCTAAGCCATCACATAGAGCAGTGTTACTTCTTCATATGTGAAGACAGGTGACCTATGAGCGTCTTCAGGTTATTTGCAAAATTATGTGTCTAGACATGTTTTCCCTCTGGGTGGAGTATCTCAAAGGAATCCACATAATCGATTGTAGAGACCCACATAATGGTTAAGAGCGACTTCTTGCTGTTTCAGAATATGGCTATAATAATTTGGCTTCCTGTGACTTAGACATTTTCATATTTTGACACTAAGGGAAAAAGTTCCACATAGATATTAGGTATCGTGACTTCAAGCGTAGCTCAAAACATTTTTCCCAACACAGAGCTTATTACCTTCATCCATCTTTCCTACATAGTAGGCCTGGTCAGAAATCCCTCACCTATGGTACTGATTTTTCCTGTGTTTTATGAGTCCTCCCTTCGGAAGATACATTAATACTTGCTCCAGAATGCAGAGTGCTTCTTTGCCAGAAGGAAGGGATTTCTGCAAGGCATATTTATAGGGATACAGAAGGGATGGGCAACTCTCAGGCTTCCAGAGAATGGCAGGTAGCCAGATTTGTAAATTTAGGAAACCCCACCTGAGACTTTGGCCTATTACTGACCAGAATCAAGGACTTACCTGGCACTTGGTCCAGAAGCATGACTATTTCCCAAGTCTGAGCTCGGATAATCATCTCATCCAACGTGTGGCATTTTACACTTCCAGGGAAAAGACAGAAAGTTGACGGGGTCTTCAGGAAGCAGCACATCTTTGACATCATAAACTCTTTTGAGGTAGGAAAATGACCCACATTTTTTTTTTGTTATATTCCCCAGGCCATGCTCAGTGCATGCTAGATACTCAGTAGATACTTTATGGAATAGAGCCAACCTCATTAGCTATGACCTATAAAGAGTGCCTTAGCTAGTAAGCAAGACAAAAGTTGTGGGCAGTAAAGAATTGGCAGGGTGTCCAAAGATGATAAAGAAATGATGAAAGGTGATTTGAAAAAGAAGAGACTAAACAAAGGTGGCAAATGCTGCCATTTCTTGCACAATTGCTAAAAATGAGTCAGCAAGCACAAGGCCAACTTCAGCTGCCAATAAAATAAATGAAATACATAATGTAAGGGGAACAGCTCTACTAAGTCCAACATGCCTATCAACACTCACATTCACACCTTCCTGCAAGCACCACTTATCTCACAGTAAGACACTTTAATGACATCTTTAACAGGCCTGGCTTCCCTTGTAAAAAGAATAGAAGGCAAAGTGGAAATTCAAAATGAGAGCAGAAGTTTTACTCAGAAAGAATGGAACAGACAAAAAGACTCCTCCTCCAAAGGGAAATTGGCCAGAAAAGTTTACCATTTACTTGCTTCTGGCTGTTAGGCCAGGTTGGCAACTGGAGATATTTTGGTTCCCATTAAATTTAGGAAGAACACAGGTGGGGCTTAGTCAAGACCAGGTGCTCACTCCCTTCCTTGCAAGGGAACTGAGGCTTCAGTTCCTAACCTTCCCTGGGCGTTGGGAACCCAGTTCCTACGGCTTCAATTTCTCTTTGCCAATAGGTTCTCTATTTCTGGTACATGGAGTGTTGTTTTCCCCCACAAGTTTAAATATGAATTATTTTAATTTTAATATATTTAAGCTAGCATTCTATGTGCCTGAAGCAGAATAGGAGAGAGAAGTTGAGCTTACAATCAACCCCATCATCTTGATCTGACGATTAGATCTCTATAGAGCACAACAGACTTTACTCTTGGATAACAACATTCAATAGGAAAAAATAAAATCATGATTCAGCCTCAGCCTTCACTATAGCTTGTCCAAACCTTGAAAGTAGTGCAATTATAAGTCATGCATTTGTACCAGGTACTGTACTGAGCACACCGTCCTTGTGCGCTCAAAAATTATTGGGACCAAAAGTCAATATGAGCCACTGGTAAGATGTGACTGACAAGAATTAATACAATCATCTTTGAGAGGAGGAATAACAATGAGCTTTAGGTTCAGAAATACCTAGAAGAAAATTCTGGTTCTACATTTACCAATCAGGTGACCACAGAGTTAAGAAATACTGTGCCCATTTGCCAGTAAGAAAAGTGAGTCTTAGAGTCACACAGGAAACTTCTAAGTTGTGGTGTGGATTGAGCACAATTACATAAGTAAAATACATTTTACTTAGATGGGGTTCAAGAAATCTTAGGTGCCTGCTTCCCGCATTTCTCCCTCCTTCGCCCTTGCTTTAGACATCATTAGCAGCAGAATAGAGATCAGATCAAGTGGCATAAATGTTCAGCTTCATCGCATACTGGCTGGAGTAAATCTGGTCAACAGGATTGAGTTCTGTGCACTGATTTCTTAAGATTTAGAAATTCTCTCTATTGCAACCAAGGGAAAGTTGGAATGAATGACTGCCAAGGTCCCTTCCACTTCTAATATTCTGTAATTTTTATGGAAAGAGATTAATGAAGAATTCTAGTTATTCCATAAAGAGTCATAAATGTAATACAGCAGTCCCATCACATTTCAGATTCCTGCTGTACTGCTTTAAATAATCTAAACTTACAAAAAATCTCATCAAGCATAGGATCAAAAACTCATCAGAAATAAGTAACTCATTTTTTAAGTATAAAGCTGTATATTTTGCAATGCCAAAGACAGAAGCTTTTTCTACTACATGCAACCTGATCAAAGAGAATGTCTAAAGCAGCACTGATGTTAAAATAATTTCATTATGCAAATCAATTTTCAATCTAATCATGAATTAATACATGGCCCATAAGTGTATAATTTGGGTGGAGAAACAGTCTAATCAATTTTAAAGACATCTTTTTAAATGTGATTCAAATTTTAAGAAAAACCTAAAAGACTCTTCTAAGGTAACAGCTCTTCAACTACATTTCTGTCAAAGACAGGATTTTATACCTTTCTGGAGAAGGCTTTCATGACACCAGAAAGGTAACATGGTAAGAGCTCCACATAGAAAAAATTTAAAAGCAGTGAGGCGCGGTGGCTCATGCCTGTAATCCCAGCACTTTGGGAGGCCAAGGTGGGCAGATCATGAGATCAAGAGTTCGAGACCAGCCTGACCAACATGGTGAAACCCTGTCTTTACTTAAAAAATACAAAAATTAGCTCGGCTGGTGGCACGTGCCTGTAATCCCAGCTACTCAGGAGGCTGAGGCAGGAGAATCACTTGAACCTAGGAGGCGGGGATTGCAGTGAGCCGAGGTCATGCCACTGCACTCTAGCCTGGGTGACAGAGCGAGACTCTGTCTCACAAAAAAGAAAAGAAAAAAAAAAAAAGAAAAGCTTAGATGTTTAGGAATTAGAAACTCCCTTTAAAAAGAATCAAGATTGGTTTGCCATGTCTTATCCAACTATTTGGACAAATGGTAGGAACCTAATAAGTGCGTTGATCACATTTGAGAGTCTCCTTCACACAGGTGAAATAATTTTTACCCTGTTTGTTTCCATAAATGATTTTTAGGAGGCTTATGCCAAGTCATGTATGCATTAAAGCTCTTAAAATACTGAATAAAACCCATACTGGATGAGAGGATAGCAAAGATCCTAACCCCTTCCATGAACGAAGCACTCAGCTGTGCATTTCCCTTTGCTCTGTACTTCCTAGAAGCCAGGGGAGACATGGGACGCACTGATTCTCATTATTTGAGAAAAGATAACTCTTCCTGATACTTAATTCTCTAATTAATGAGTCATACCAGCTACAATATAGGGGGCACCAAGCAACATATGAATAACACCTGAAATTCGTTTTGAGGACCTCCAGATGCATCCATCATTTGGCCATTTATTTATTTTTCTTGAGACAGAGTCTCGCTCTATCATCAGGCTTGAGTGCAGTGGTGCGATCTCGGCTCACTGCAACCTCCACCTCCCAGGTTCAAGCGATTCTCCTGCCTCAGCCTCCTGAGTAGCTGGGACTATAGGCGTGTGCCACCACGCTCAGCTAATTTTTGTATTTTTAGTAGAGACGGGGTTTCACCATGTTGGCCAGGATGGTCTCGATCTCTTGACCTTGTGATCTGCCCGCCTCGGTCTCCCAAAGTGCTGGGATTACAGGCATGAGCCACCGTGTCTAGCCTGACCATTTCTTTAAAAAAGCCAAGGACATAACATGGAAAGGTAATTCTATACAGACCCTTCTGCTATCAGGTATATAAATGAAAGATTTGTTTTTCTTTTCCATGGGAGAGGAGTGTCTTTATACTTGAGAGAAAGATATAGGTGGACAGAAGTTCTGCAGGAGAGCTGCTCTCTTTATTGAACTCATTTCTTTTAATAACCAATCAAAGCTCTCTTAAGAGAAATGGAGGCTGAAATGTCCTGCAGCTGGCTAACAGTCCATTACTCGACATTGGTTGAGTGGAGGAGTGTATCATGCCACAAATGCACTCTAATACGTGGCATTCAGTTGAGGAAATTTAGCATTCAGGGTCACTCGGTGTGTAAGGTGATGGCTAGCACTTTTTGACTTCGTTTAGCCTCAGCTGACATAGAAAAATGATCGTAAAAATAAAGTTTTCATACAGATGTGTTTCTCACTTGAGAAATGTCTCTGTATATGTGTGTTTGGATATGTGTATATGTGCATATACACAGACATACATATATTTTATTGAATGAATTCATTGCTTAAGCACTGTGTGCCAGATTGTAAAATTGTCCCTAGAACTCTGTTTAGGAGACAGTATTCCCTATAATCTCAACTGCCTTCAGCACCCACATGGTTATCTTTCAACTGGGAGAGCTGCACGATGCAGAATTGTTACTATGCATCTGTCCTGTCTTTTTACTTCTGTCCTAGGGTTTCATGTCGCTGACCATTGTTTATAAAGCCCCCACTCACTCAACTTTATTCTTGAATCCACATCTAGAAATATATTACCCAAGTAAAGAACATGTTTGTAGATATCTATCATTTTGAAACAGGAGGGCATTTAAAAACGAACAATAAACTGCATGCTATGGCAAAGAATATCATGCTGACTTTTGCATAGTCACAAAATCCAGAACAGATTATTCAAAGAACTCTCTGGAAGCTGACAAGCTTATAAAAGCAATACTAATAAAAAATTTCTGCATTCTGAATATATAACAAAGTTACAGCGTGTCACTTGCTCCATAAATTGCCACTATTACCACTTGGAGCAGAAGGAAATGTACATATATAAAGATATATATGTGCATAATTTCATATTCCCTGGAAACTGAAAAATTATGTATGTTAAATAGTGTTTTAATTGCAAAATGAAAAACTACATTAAATGGTTCACGATACGGTTCATGGTCCCACAAGGGTAAAGTCAAGTGTAAATGCTGCCTAGTATAATGGGGAGAAACCGGCCTCTGGAGGCACTCAGGCCTGGGGGCAAATTCTAGCTCTGTCCAGGATCTACTGCCTCTAGCTGATCACTGGATTGCTCTGAGACTGTTTCCCTATCAGTAAAATAGAGATATCAAATACCTATATTGCAGAGAGTTTTATGCAAATTAAAGGAGAATAAAAAATAAGCCCCTATCTATTTCCATTTTTGTCAAATTATTAAATCACTTAGAAAGCTCAATACAGAGATTTATTGTTCCTCTATGGATGATCATACAGGCCAATATCATTAAGGCCATACAATAGCTGACAAGATTTAAGACTGAAATTCAATATACATATTTTCAGCTCTCAAATTCTATGATTATCTGAGCACATATGACAGCAGAATGTAAAATTCCTCTGAAGACCAATTTTAAGAAAACTACTCTAACATACATGTGAGAGCAGTATTTAGGCTTCACTGGAGCATTTCCATTTATCAGCCTTCTGGTAAATCTATATGATTTGCCTATACTCATAAATAACACGCAGTAGTTCTCATAGCATTTGCTTTAAAAAGCAACAGGCTCTGTGCTTTCATTCGTATCATTGTTTTATTGCCTCAAGTGTGTGTCATACTTCCCATTCTGCTTTGAAGGTCCAGTTCATATATTTTTCATTCACAAAATCTTTCCATGCCTACTCCAGCCCATGAGTTGGTCTCTAGCCTGAAGAAAGCTTGGAGTTTGCTTGTGGACACAGACTGTCCTTCCTTGCTTAGCAATGGGTTGGGCAGAGAAGGCCCAGTCTATGTTTGGAGATGGGCTGAAGGTCTCTAAGTGAACACAGACCTCATACGCTTGCAGATATTGCAAATTTTAAAAAAATGACTTTTCACCTTTTTTGCCAACAGAATTGCCATTTCTATTTTGATTGTTCATTTAAGTGAACAATGTTTTAAGTTTTGTAACAATCTTTTAACAACATTCTTCTTTTAAGTTACCCACGTGGAAATTATGAGAACTCCATTTTCAGCAACTGAAGGTCTGTTCAACAACGGCCTAGTACATTCACCTGTGATTCAACACACACTGTGTGGGGCTTGAAATACACTACAATCACACCACCTTCCCAAGCTATCCCAGTCGGTGAAAGGGAAATGAACTCTCCTTGGCTTCCCTCTTTGCTTCTCCAGAAACACCCTCTATCCCTCTCCACCCTACACTGTGCTCTGGGAAGCTGAGCTAAAGAATGCTCACATAGTTCCCTTTCCACTGGCTGCTGGTTTGGTTTGGCCAATAGCAGGTGCTGGTAGACTGGCAGATGGAAAGACAGTGAGACTGGGTATTTATTCCCCTGACTCCCTCCCCATCAGGTTATCATCATGTCCCACAGCTCCTAGCAGGTGGCCAACTCTGCAGCTACCATCTCCTAGATTCTGGTAACTGTTTTCTCATCTTGTCTTCTAGGCCTATAATACAATACAGCAGAAATGATTTTCTCTGCTGCTAGCACTGGAATCTGCTACTACCTCTAAATCTGGCCCACATCATTGTAAACAGTCCCTTTATTAACTCTCTTAAATAATGCCAGGTTGTTTATACCAGGTGGTTTCTGCCATGACCCCAACTGAGTCTTGAATCTAGGCTAGAAACACCAGGAAAAGAGCCACTCTGGACCAAAGCATTATGGCTTGTTTTAGCAGAGGTATTACAGGCAATGTTGCAACGAATAAAGAGTAGCCTCTTTACTATGAAGTGTAAGGGCAATTGTTATGATCCATTAAGTTATAGGAAACCAACAACTAGATTTATGCTACAAACCAATCAGGGTAAGAAGAAAGACATTAGTAAGAAAATGAGAATATTAATGAGCAGTATACCAGAAGATAGAGCTAGCTGAAGAATATTTTATAATTTCATACAAATGTCACCACCCTCCCCAAAATTTAGCTTTTTCTGCTTCTACCATCACTAAAGCACATCATTAAATAAGCAGAGAGAGATGGGCAAGATCCTTGAACTTCAATAAAAGGGCTCAGAAAGATGGACACATGTTGGTATGGACATAGCGCTGAAGCCCACTGAGGCTATACTATATTCTGGGCTGTACTCTTTTATTGCAATATTATACCTATCAATATCTACATGGAAATGTAAGTTTATTTGAATATAATAAATTCACTGAAACCTGGATTCCTCTATTTGTGTGATGATGCTTGGCCCTACAGTTTCCTTTCTAAGATCTAGTATTTCAAGAAACAACACTAGATTCCTACTTGACAAAAGGCTTCTCACTTAAATTAAGAAGCTACTCCTGAACTGCTGTCTGCTTATTATTCTGGTGGCCTCTCATCTTCCACAGTCCCAGACCTTCTCACTGGAATAATGTTCTCAGGAGCCTCTTGTGTCCAGGGAAGCCCTTTCCTGCACCTTCCAAATTTACTCGTACCCACCTTTCTTAATCAATTTTATTTCCTCTTCCCCCTCTTCTACTCCCTGCTACCCTCACTCAAGGTCACCTCAAAGAGAAAAAAAGTGTTTAAAAAAGAAGTTCAGCTGGAAACACACATTGAGATCTCATTCATATTCTGTACTGATTTCCAGACCATAAGACTCCTAGAGAAAGTGTTCTTTGATAATGCCTAAAATAGCCCCTTTTAGCTTGTGTTTTGAAAAAACCACACCTTGGATGTACCTTTAAAAGTAGTGGCATGTAACAACAGAACTGAAAGAGGCCAAGAAAAAGGATTCTTCTGTTTTTTATTCCTTTTTTATTATTAATGAATGCAGAGATTCTTCTCACTACAAGTGCCTAAGAGACTGGCCAAAGTACTTGGTGAGGTGACCATCTGGAAGGTGAGAGGCCTGGGGAAGCACCGATGACCCTAATTGTTCACAGTGTATGGGATGTGGAGCCCACTGTACCCGATGCCCAGCTCACATCCACTGATGGCAAAGATGACTTCTAATCCACAGACTCACAAGTCTGGCAACTGTCTTCTGCTGTGGGTAATAATCACTCCAGAAGCGAGCACAGCACATGTACTTCAGGGCTCATCACTCCCCCACTTAACACTCCCCAAAAGCCCCCCAGAGACTGCCCAACGTAATCATTGAATAAATGCTTGATTGAGGTTGACTTCACCATTCTCTTCAGTTTGCAAAGCCCACTCCCCTGGCTCTGAGGCAGATCAATTTGCATTTACCCTTTAGTGTCTGCATTTGGGCAGTGGGCAGTTATTCCAACTTGAGGGCTAAGAGGGCTCAAATTAGCACATTCACTATACTCCATGATTCATCTTCAAAGAACTTTCCCATCCGAAACTAATTAATCCTCTCCACATCCCTGTGAGGTAAGGGTGGTGTGATCATCTCCAGGGTATAAGGAGGAAATTGGGGATGAGGAGGTTACAAGCTGTGCCAAGGGTAATTAAGGGTGTCTGCAGGGGAATGAAGTCATGATATACCAATCCCAGGCCATTCCTCCACCTTTCACCATGCTTTGACCATCTGATCATTCTCTGGGCTTTGGTGAAAACATAGACAGAGTCTAGGAGATATGAGAATTAAAAAAAAAAAAAAAAAAGACTTGCCCCTGCCAAACACTTGAGATGTCTTTCCTACAATAAGTTGGTATTAGAAGCCGCTTCTTTGCCAATATCAAAGTATCCAAGAAAAACAAAAAGGAAGCCACTTCTCTTAGTTTCTTCCCGACAAAAATATGTCGTTAGGTAAATTTAATACTGTTTCCTGGAAAGAAGGCTGAGAAAAATACATCTTCATCTGTCTTCCTGGGAAGCATACAGTGAGGTTAACTCTAACGTCTTCAGAGGCACAAGCCAGCCCACCGGCAGGCTTGAGGTTCAGGGTTGCTGCCTGTCCAGACCTGTGATCTGCCTGGAGCAGGATGATAGCATAGCCCTCCTTAACACGCTTTACCTAGGCCTTGCTTCTCTGCAAGCTCCCCAGAGAATGGCATAAAGCAAATATTTCAGCCATCTCTACCCTAGACCTTTCTCACTTTGCTGAAGAAGAACCAGCATTGGTGATTTCCAATTCAACCACCAAAACAGTGTCCTTTTTCCTTTGCTGGCTCCTCTTCCTCCTCCTGCCTGCCCCAAGCTTCAGGCTTTTATGTTATTACTATTTACTTTCTCATGGTATATTAGGATATAACTAATATATAACTATATAATAGCAGGATGCTATTACTAGTACTTTCGTTAGGGATCACATTCACTGTCACATATTTGACTCCCATTTCTCTATTGCCAGTTTCTAAATCACCAGGCCTCTCCCTGACCTGAAAAGGCTGCATTGTAAATTATAATTTTTTCAATTTTTATATAGTATGAGTTGGAGTAGGTAATTTACTATTTCATTTGGAGAATGACTAGTCCTAATAGTGAAACTCTGTAATGTGCCAATAATTAAAACAGTATAGACAGGACTAGCATATGAGCAGACAGACAAATGAAACAGAATAGACGGTCCAGACATAGACTCAAATACATATAAGAATTTGTTATATCACAAACATAATCTAGTGAAGCAGGGATATACTTAAAGAAGTTGAGTTGGGACAAGTGAGTGGCCAGGAAAAAAATATGGTTGGATACATACCTCATACTATACACACAAAAACAAAGCCATAAACATTTCCAAAAAGAATATTTGAACAAGAATAATTTTATTAAATAATTTTACATTATTTAATTAAGTTTTAAAGAATTGTTGTTATCTTAATTGTTTAGAGGATATATTCTAAAAAGTCCATCCTTACATATTATTGCTACATATAGAGATGCACTTATGAAGAAAATAATATATCTGGAGTTTGCTCTAAGCATTCTCAAAATGAGTGAGAAAATAGATAAAATAAGATTGGCAAAATATTCTTAATTGTTGAGGCTGAATGATGGGTAGCTGGGGTCTATTGTACTATTTTCTCTATTTGTATAAGCTTAAAATTGTTCATGATAAAATGTATTTTTTTTAGTGCCAGAAGAAAATATGAGTGACTTTCTTGGAGTAGGGAAAGGTCTTTCTAACCATGATTCAAAACACAGAAAGTATAAAATTAAAGTTTGATAAATTCAACTATATTAGACAACTTCTGTATGTATAACAAAAAACTCATAAGCAAAGTTAAGAAACATATAACTTGAAGAAAATATTTTCAACTCCTATCACATTTAAAACAATAGATAATCTCACTAATATGGAAATAGCTACTAGAAATCATAAGAAAATTATCAGAAATCCAATAGAAAAATTGGCAAAGAAAATTAATACACATTTCATAGAAAAATCCACCAAATGGCCCTTAAATGTCATGAGAACAGCTGAGCATCTTTTGAATAGGAGAAATGAAAATGAAAATTGTACTTTATAACTTCTAAATTTTGGCCAAGCTGATACATGAACATGTTTTCTTAACACTCTCCTTTTGAGAAGACCACAGGAAATTTTCATATATTGCTTGGGGGAATACAAACCCTATGGAGCAATTTGACAACATTATTAAAATTTTAGATGTACTTACCCTTGACCCCAAAAATCCTACTCTAGTTTTATTCTACAGGTAGACTTGCATACATGTACAATGATACATTGGCATGATATCATTGTAGCACTGTGTGTAATAGTAAATGTCTGAAAACAACCCAAGTGTCCATTAAAAGGAATATAGATACGTGCACACACACAGAGACACACACACGCACGTGCGTGCACACACACACACATTACCTATTGTGTTACCAATGTTACCTCATATGTTACCTATTGTGTTAGAGAGGGAACAGTATGAAAAACACTATATGTGTTTACTCATATATGGATAAATATACTCAGTAAGAATACCTAGGAAACTAATAAAAGCAATGGCCTACAGGTAGAGAGCCAGGGATAAAAAAATTATAGTACAAGGGAACAGAAGTGAGAAAGGGACTTCTCAGAGTATAACTCATTTCACTGTTTTGATTTATAATCCATGTGAATGCATGACTCATTCAAAAATTAAATTAAAACAAAACAATTCAATTGGCTCTATAGTTTATGGTTAAAGCTCAATAGTTCTCTCTAATGGACCAATGACTTGAAAAATTCAAACAGCAGATGGTACAAAATAGCATTTTTGTTTGGCTTTGAAATGCATCATTTGGAGGTGGGCATAGGGGTACCTGACAATTCACCATCCTAATTACATTTTGCAAACTGCACTGGTAAAGTCCCCTGAGATCCTGCTAAGAGCACATTCACAGTTGTCTAAATAAAAGCTGATTAAGAATGAAGGTAAGGAAGATCAACAGCCAGGAAGCATTGCCTTGCTTCCCCAACAGGTTTATTTCCATTTATGTATATAGTGTTGTGATGTGCTGGCTATTAGCAGCACTTCTCCCTTACTCTACAGACCAACAGGCACCAACTTTTTTGTCCCCCAGCTCTATTTCTATCTTGCCCCTACTCCTAACTTCAGATTCCATGTTTAGAAGGATTTATCTAAACTCTATGTAGAAGATAATTCATTATCCATTTTTAAGATTAAAAACACATAATTGCCGTAAAAAGTGATCCACATGAGATAACTAAATTACTATTTAACATGATATATACATATATACATATGTGTGTGTATATATATATATATATATATATATAATTTTGGACAAATCAAAAAAATTGTTTTTATACCCTCATTAGCCCATATTGTTTTATTGCCCTTGAATAGACAATTTATTTTATGCTTTTTGAAATATTAAAAATAGCTCCATATCTCCCACGACTACATTTGAGGTTCTGGGACCCCAGATTTCAGGCTGCTGAGTAGGCAAGAGGAGGAGGCCTGAGAATTCTCACTCTTTAGCCCCTGGCATGAAGTCTTCATAGGAAGAGGGGGCTACCATCCACTCCAATAGGAAAGGAGGCAATGGTCCCTTGTACATATATAGTAAGGGGGAAATTCTTGTTATTTAGCTTAGTGAAAAAGCTAAATATTTTGGCACACCTGGGCTATTTCTCAGCATTTCAGTTTCCTTACATGTAGAATCAGGTCTTAAAAGTTAAGAGTATAACATTGGGCAAGTTATTGAATCTCTCAGTGCCTCAGTTTCCTCATTGTGAAAATGACAAAATAATAGAAAACAATGACCTCGAGTGAGTGAGTTCATTTGTCTTAAGGCACTTAGACTAATGCCTGGAAGACAGGAAGAACTCCATAAATACTAGCTACCCACATGAAACATCTTAGAGGTAAGTATGTTTAAAACTACCTCTCTGGAGCCAGGCGACCTCCTGAGACGTTACGGAATATATCCTCTGTCACCATTTTCCTTAGACTAATTAGCTGTAATACAAATGGAAAATTATTGACTTTCACAATCTCAACTTTACTGGGTGTTGAGTGATTTACATAATCCTGTAGCTAGGAGGTCCCAGAACTGCATTCCTTTCTTTGGCAAATTTGTATGTCTTCCTCAAAGGCAATATTTATTCATCACATCCTGAATGAGTAATGACTCTGGGCTGGGGTTAGGTGGAGAATGTCAATCCTTTTCCCCACCCTCGGTGCAAGGGCTTAGAACATGGGAGCAGAGGAAGACATCACATTCAGATAAAGTCAGAACCAACCAGCCCATGGCTTGACAAGAGAGTTTAGAAGAGATCCAAGGTAGGGCCTATTTATAAGTGAAAAAACAAGGCCTCCAATTAGCCTCCAGAATCTGACACCTCTGAGTCTCTACTTTGCATCACAGGGGGGATATTAAATTCATGATCTAGAAGTAAATGAGAGAAAATAATGTTTATAATCAGTAGTTTAAATGTGCACTTGTCTCTCTCCTATACTGTCTCTTCACAACATCCATACAGGTGAGCAAAAGAAACTAGGAATGCTGTACCCAGGAAAAGACAATTTTACAAAAATGCTTCCCTAGTCATTGAATCTTAGGGAAGAAAATGGAACCAAACTGTGTCCCTGATGGGAAATGAGAATAACTAATGTTTTCCCAGCTAAAACTTTGAAAAATATGCTTTGCCACATTCAAAATCTTCACCCATTCATTTCTTTCCTTACATTTTCCTTACCTAAAAGCCACATTTTAATTAATTTCATAAAATAATCCAATTTATACCCTCTAAGGCAAGCTCGTCCAACCCATGGCCCACAGGCTGCATGCAGCCCAGGAAGGCTTTGAATGCGGCCAAACACAAATTTTGTAAACTTTCTTAAAACATTTTGAGATTTTCTTTTGCACTTCTTTTTTTCAGCTTATCAGCTATCATTAGTGTTAGCGTATTTTATGTGTGGTCCAAGATAGCTCTTCTTCTAATGTGGCCCACAGAATCCAAAAGATTGGACAAGCCTGCTTAAGTTACTAAATACGTTTATTCAGTTACTCAACCAATATTTACGGGGCACCTACAATGTGTCAGGCTTCATGTTGTTCATTGACGTTGCCTGAGATCCTGCTCGCAGGGAATCTTACTTTCCAATATTCAGCTGAAAATATCTCTTCTGCATTTCCTTTGTTTGGTTTACTGTGATTCTCATCTTCTTCTGTACAATGCCTTTCACATCTAGAAAATAATAATCTTATAACAATTGTATCAAGTCATGGGACCATGGCAGAGCAGGCTCAGAAATGATAGCCATTTGGGCATAAATAATTAAATATATGCAATACACTTCATTTAGTGCATTATTCAAATTCTGGGCTTATACAAACATGTTTCTGGAAATTACCAGCTGCTTCCTTTTGTGATCTCAGTAACTCTCAAAAAACAAGACTCAAAGGACCTACAGGCATACCTCAGAGATATTGTGGGTTTGATTCCAGACTACTGCAATACAGCAAGTCACACAAATGTTTTAGTTTCCTGGTGCAGACAAAAGTTATGTTTACACTATACTGGAGTCTATTAAGTTGTACCTACCTTAATTTTAAAATATTTTAAAATGCTACCTATCATCTGAGCCTTAAGCAAGTCATAATCTTTTTGCTGGTGGAGGGTCCTGCCTTAATGTTAATGGCTGCTGACTCATCAGGGTGGTGGTTGCTAAAGGTTGGGGTGGCTGTGGAAATTTCTTAAGTCATCAATAAAGTTTGCTACATCAATTGAGTCTTCCCTTCATCAAAGATTTCTCTGTAGCATGTGATACTGGTTAATAGCATTTTACCCATAGAACATTTTTCAAAATTGGAGCCAATCCTCTCAAACCCTGTCACTGTTTTACCAACTAAGTTTCTGAAATATTCTAAATCCTAGCTACTCAGGAGGCTGAGGCAAGAGGCTTACTTGAGTCCAGAAAGTTGAGGCTGCTGTGAGCCATGATCACACCACTGCACTCCAGCCTGAGTGACAGAGTGAGACTTTTTTCTAAACAAACAAACAAACAAACAAAAAACTGTTGTTTAGTGTAACTACCTTCATCAATGATCTTAGCTAGATCTTCTGGATCACTTGCTGCAGCTTCTTCATCAGCACCTCCTGCTTCACCTTGCACTTTTATGTTATGGGCATGGCTTCTTTCCTTCATCCTCATGAACCCACCTCTGCTAGTTTCAAAGTCTTCTTCTGCAGCTTCCTCACCTCTCTCAGCCTTTACAGAATTGAAGAGAGCTAGGGCCTTGCTCTGGATTAGGCTTTGGTTTAAGGGAATGCTGTGGTTAGTTTGGTCTTCTATCCAGACCACTCACACTTTTTCTGTATTAGCAATAAGGCTGTTTTGTTTTCTTATCATTCATGAGTTCACTGGAGTAGCACTTTTAATTTCCTTCAAGAACTTCTCCCTTGTATTCTCAACTTGGCTGTTTGGCACAAGAGGCCGAGCTTTCAGCCTGTCTCCGCTTTTGACACGCCTTCCTCAGTAAGACTAATCATTTCTAGCTTTCGATTTAAAGTGAGAGATATGTGACTCCTCCTTTCACTTGAACACTTAGAGGCCATAGGGTTATTAATTGAACTAATTTCAATAGTGTATGTCTCAAGGAATAGGGAAGCCCAAGGAGGGGAAGAGAGATGAGGGAATGATCAATCACTGGTACGGTCAGAACATCCACAGCATTGATGGATCAAGTTCACCACCTTATATGGGTATATTTCATGGTGCCCCCAAACAATTACAATAGTAACATCAAAGATCACTAATCACAGATCACCATAACAGGTATAATAATAATGAGGAAGTTTGAAATATTGTGAGAAGTACCAAAATGTGATGAAGAGACACAAAGTGAGCACACGCTGTTGGAAAAACAGCACTGATTGACTTGCTTAAACCTTTCCATAAACCTTCCATTTGCAGAAAATGCAATCTTTGTGAAGTGCAATAAAGCCAAATGCAATAAAACAAGGTAGGCCTGTATTTTCCAAATCAGCCTCCTTCTACTTACGTGTGGTCATTCATGTCATTTGCCTCCCTTTCTGCCAACCCCAAACTGACTAGGGAGGAGAATCAATTGGAATTCCTTTTCCCTAATTGCTTACTTTCCTTTTTCTCCAAACCTTGCATTTTTCCCCACTAAAACCACCTATGCCAAAACCATAGTTCAGTGAAATAAGTGTGATTAAGCAAATTATAAGCCAGCTCAGGGAGTCGCTCTAATTACTCTAATCAGGGATAGGTTCCCAGCTCACAGGAGGCCTGACTGGCCTAGAACTCTTGCTTCCTACCGGTGGGTGGTGTGTCAGCAGATGGCAATCACTGCTGCTATTTCACCAGCTTAATGTGAGATTGTTCTAGTTTTGGGCTTCAGACCCTTATTATTCTTCAATTTCTTTAATTGGTCCACTGAAAAAAATCTTGCCTTTAATCCCTGAGTGCCCCAGAAGCCCATGCAACAGTTGGGCATGGTGCCAGATTCTTCAACAGGAAGAAGAATATGTGTATAGGAGGAGATGCCGGTCTCCCTCTCTTACCACATTTGAGCTCCCTGATGGCAGGAGTAATCTTTCATCCCTAGAAATGAGCCTGACATGGAGCAGAGGCTCAAATGTTTGCTGAATATCTTGGAATGAACAAAGAAGAGAAAGCAAAGTCATATTTTCTTTTAAGAGGCACTTTATGGGACAAAGGATTTAATAAGGAAAAAAAATGCTTGTACAGGGAACATGCCTATCGCGTACTACATTTAAATGAGAACACTGAGAAGACAGAGACTTAGGAGTGTTCTAAGCCACATGGCCACCACTCCATACACACCTGACAGCAATGCATATCTGGTTTCTCACCATTAACTCAAAACAGTCAGAGGTGACAAGTCTGTATGACAAAGCAAGAGAAAGAGACAGAGGTTGGAGTGCAGAAGAAAAGTACCAAGCTGATGTCAAATCACAAACTTCCATCAGGAAAACAACAGCCAAGCAACAATCAACATTCTAACAAGCTTTATTTGGTTATAAAATTCTTCAGGGAAAATTCTAGAACTTCAGGAATATAACACCTTAATGAGGCCTACTAGGTAGTGGTATATCAAAATATTGCTCTCCCTTCTTATGCTTCTACTTAACTTTCTACACATTTTGGCAATGGTAGCTCATGAAAGAAAACTGAGAGATGGTTCAAGAGTTTCTTTATGAGGCTGAGGTCCCTGGGCCCTGCAGAAGGACAGATGTAAGAAAACTTGGCAAAGTTCACAGCTGCTCCATGGCCACACATTGATGAATGTATCCCATGTCCTTGGCTTCCTTACATGTAAGTAATTATGTTGCACACTGGATTAGAAAAGCCATGTTTTGGCATCATCAATCCAAATTTACCTGTGGAATTTCTCTTAGTGGAGGAAGCATTAATCAAATAAACTTTTTTTTTTTTTGAGATGGAGTTTCACTCTTGTTGCTGGAGTGCAATGGCTCAATCTTGGCTCACTGCAACCTCCACCTCTTGGGTTCAAGTGATTCTCCTGCCTCAGCCTCCCGAGTAGCTGGGATCACAGGCATGCGCCACCATGCCCGGCTAATTTTGTATTTTTAGTAGAGATGGAGTTTCTCCATGTTAGTCAGGCTGGTCTCAAACTCCCAACCTCAGGTGATCCACCCACCTCGGCCTCCCAAAGTGCTGCAATTACAGGCATGAGCCACTGCGCCTGGCCAAATAAAGTTTTAAAACTGAAAATACAGGCATATATATATATATATACACACACACACACACATACACATACACATATATGTATATGTATGTATTTTCCTCTTTTATTCATTGAATAAACATTCTTGAGCACTTACTGTGCGCTATATGAGGAACTAGAAATAAAAATTTAAGTAAGACATGGCCCATGTCCTAAAGTGATTTGAATATAGTGATGAAGGCAGTCCACGTACAAACTGCAAACCTGTGGCCGTTGCTATAGGGACAATGAGTTATGAAGCATTACTAACTCTACTACATGTATTCTAAAATGCCAGTAATTTCTGTAGCTTATAGTAGGTAAGGAAGCATATTATTTATGCTGAAACCATGCAGAGATGTTCCCAGAAATAAGCACATCTGCAGAAAACAAATCTATACACATTGTAGATTGGCCACATAGAACAAATGTCTCAGGAAAAAAAAATTATTTTCTTAAAAAAACAAAAAAGAAAGCAAGCACACTGGTTAGGATTTTCTGCAGATGTCATCAGAATAAATGGATGGGTACAGACAAGTGCTTAGGTTTGCAGTATGACCAGGTATCTTGCTGAGGCTCAGTCTACGCACCCTAAACTAGGAATTGGGCAATCTCCTACTTAGAGGATTTCCAGCAAACTCCATAGCTCTTCTATCTCCATTTCTGGTTTAGAAATTTCACCCTTCCAACAAAGTTTACTTCTTCCAGAAGCATAAGGTACAGTAGATACATCAAGCTTGAAAGGGAAAAAAATTAAATTTTACTGATCACCAACTTATCCTTTGCAAATTAAATCTTCAGTGTATTAAGTGGTACCCAGAATGCCTGTTTCCCTGATAAGAATTTATCACATGTTCACCTTATTTTCCTAAAGATATTCTAGTTATCTAAAAAAAATGGTATATTTCTCTGTGATCCAAAATGAAATAATTTCCACTTACATGAAGAAGTATTTGCCATCCACTTACTGAAGCACTAAGAGCACTCACTTTTATAATGGACATAACTTAATACAGGAACATTTTCTCATGGAAAGTATTTGACTAGGAAAAAGTGGAATGCAAAGTAATGTGGGCTATTAAAATACATAATCCCTTGACCCTATTGAAGGGCAATTTTGCTATTTCTGAAGCAGCCCCTTCAGTAAATAACAGTATATCCTGACAGTCTGAGATTCATTCCTACTGAAGGGGACTTTCTCCTTGTTGGTTGTGAGCATCCACAGAGCTTTAGAGAGGCAGTGCTGATTCAAGGGACTGACAGCTGGACTCATTCTAACCAGTCCTAGGACTGAGTTCCACTTGAATTAATTTTCAAGAGAGTATCTCACCCAAGCAACTTATTTACGCTGCTTCTTAAGGTCTTCCATGTCTGTTTTAAATCCTTAGAATTTCAATCTTGCTGTGGGAGGATTGCCAAAACTTCAAGTATTTATCTGATGATTAAATGGCTGCTACTGCCAGCACACCAAAAATAGTAGGTGTTGGAGGATATCAGAAATCAAAGTTCTATTAAACAGATCTATACGAAGTACGTATTGTGTGGTCAACACTGTGATAACCACCATGGAGTTTTAAACTATATGAAAACTCTTCGACCCAAAAAACTGATGATGCATTAAATAACTGGAGTAAGCACAGGGCAGCATATAATAAAGAATTAAAATGAGTGCTATAGGGTACAGAAAATGATTATGATTATACCTCATACATACCTTACTATTAAATAACAAAAATTTAAAAATATAAGGTGCTTAAATTAGATGAAATGCATTCACACACAATACCTCTTTGACTCTTACAACCACATGGTGAGGTAGGTGAGGGAGATATTATTAACGCCACTTACAGATGAGGAAACTATAACCAAAGAGGTCAAGGGGCTTAGGCAAGGGCACCCTGCAGATACACGGCAGAATTCCAGACGGCAGCCATGGTGCTCTCTCCTGGTTCCATAATCTTGCTGCCATACCATGCTGCCTTTTCCTTGCCATGGGAGGGAGAAGAAAGAAGAATTTGGAGGGTGAACTGTAAAGGATATTGTTGAATGAAAAATAGGATGTAAGATTTTCATGGGGAAAGGCAAATAGTGGCAGGGGCAAAGAGCATGACCACAGGTTTAGAGGCAGAGACTAGAAGAATGATTTCGTGAAATGGATTATGTATTAGAAGGAAGTGTATTAGAAGGAAAACAGGGTATGATAGGAAAATGGAATTATCCATGGAGGATTCAGAAAGTCAGGAGTTGAGTTAGAGTCTTTCAAGCAATGAGACTTTTTTGCAAAGGAGACTGCCAAGATCAATGCAAAGTTTAAGGAAGTTGATACAGTGTTCTCCTGTGCTAGATGGGTTCAAGGGATGGAAGGTGGGAGGCAAAGAGTCTGGGTTTCTGGAATCCAGCAGAGAGTGGCTGGGGGCCTGATGTAGTTCTGAGATATTAAGGTGGGTATCCTGGCAGAATTCATCACAGATGCATCTGTCATCTCATGTCACTGAACAACAGCAAAGCTGAACGACTCTGGCTACAAGGGATAGGGGATTTGGTGTTTACAAACTTAACATGGATTAAGCCATTTTAGGTTGGTTCGCTTAAAACCTATAAGATACGCCGTCTCCAGGATTCAGGATTAACAAAGGTAAAATTACCTGCATTTTCAGGCCTCCATTTAATGTGACTTCCTGAACTCAGCCAGTCTATTATTAGACTGGAATGGATGGGGGCCCCACAACCCTGCTGGAGTTCCAACAGATGAAGGGGAATTGAGAGGGGTGTGGGGTAGGTACTCTGGGTCCCTCACCCCCATTTAAATGAGAATAGATTTGATTTTATAAAATTGCTCCTTTTAGGATCTTTGACAAAATTTTATTTGGGTAAAGGCTTCCATAGCTTAACACATCTGAAAAGCCAACAATCTAGTCCATCCCCAGCCACAGACAGATTGGGAAGCAGGACCAGAGAAGTACAGGGCCTGGTCCAAGGTCACAGAGCAGGTGAGGCCCACTGAGAGGCCTTTTTAAAGTACATCAAATTGGGCAACTGAGGACTGAAAGAACAAAAATCAGTTCGTGTACTTTGAAGCCCCAGGGCCAGGATTCTTTCCGGGTCCTTTTTGTGCCTGTGGCAGAGCCGGTTCTCAGATGTCCTAACCAGGACAGCACACACAGCCAGGATCAAGGATCAGGACACAGCTCCCGGCCACAGGCAGCGAGGCTGGGCCTCAGATCGCCAGAAGTGAGACCGGGAGCCTGTTCCAGGGCTGAGCCTCCTGCCCACAAATTAAGCTTAGGATGCTTCCAGTAGGAAAGAGGGTCTAGTTAATACTTCCTCTGACTCATTCATAGTTCAACACTTCATAATTTCTTTTTTTCCTCACTTCAGTCTCCTCTGGGGGGCTAAGACTAAGGCCAAAACAAAATAAAAATCCACCTCCACCACCACCAACAAAAACCACCTTAAGAAAAGGGCTGTTGTGCCCTGGGGAAGACAAAGAAGTGCTGCAAGTTTGGAATTCTCGCAGTTACCAAAGAATTATGACCCAGAAGCAGGGAATCATTAAATCCAGCTGGTTTCACTTGTATAACAGCATATAACATTGTACCAGCTCCTTCACTGCCCGCTGAATCAGGAAGTTTAGGGAGAAAAAAACCCAGTAGAGCCCCTAGTAAATCTGTCTTTTTGTATTCGAATCCTAAAAAAGTATTCCCCACACCTTTTCACATAAGGCATACCGTCACCTTAACTATGTTTATCGAGACAGACAAAGTGTCTTCGCAGATGCTAGAGCATTTCTCTTCTTTGACAGCAAATACTGATTAAATCTTCCAGGAGAAAAGTTAGGCAAACACAAACCCAGTTTCTCGCCAGTTACAAAGGGACAAACTTTCCATTTCTGACATTTCCTTTCATTATTGTCAGGAAAAATAAAATAAATAAAAGTGATAAAATTTTATAGAAAATGTCTCCTGAAGATATGGCTGTTTTGGTTTTAACTTAGGTTGAACGATTTCCTACCAGTTTTGTGAATTACCTAATCTAACTAAAAGAATTCCTAAACCAGCTATGCTTCCTATTGTTAATTTAGAAAAACTGGGGAGAATGTGGATGATACACAAACCAACAGTGCCAGGTAAGCTTTCCGCTGGCAGGGCGGCACGTCACCCTTTCAAGATGGAGGATGCTGAGGGGACTGTGACTTTGCTGGCAGTGACATTAGTGGCAAGAGACTGTAAGTTATGAATTAGCAGGTCTCTGCGAACTGATTAACTCCTGGATATTCTGAATGCCTGGTTTAAAAAATAATAAATCAAAATGACCTTCAGGCACTCACCAACACTGTTAACAGAAACATCCCAGTTAGAAATATGGATGGAAAAACACGTTTGTGGCACATATACTGATCTGAGCTATAGAGTCTGTCTTTTTAATCACCCCTGTTAGGAATATAAAATCTCCTTAAAATAAGTCACACAGCTCTCTATACATCATAAGTAATTCACCAACATAAAGGCTACAGATTTTATCATCGTCATCGGCACTGCCAGATAGCTACTAAGAGTTACTGAGATTGGTAGACTTGGTTTGAGGGTTAAAACACTGTGTGTGCCGTCTCTGAAAATTATCTGCATAACTGCAGAGCTTTCTAATTCACGTTGAAGACTCATCATTATGCCAGGAGAAATTGAGGCTCTCAGGTCCCCAGCCTGATAACTCAATACACAAGCCTCCCTTTGGGTTCCTCCTGAAGGACTAGCACTTCAGCATCACTGTGGGAGGTGGGAGCAGGCCAGCCAGCATGCACTCGTCTCCTGCCTGCAGCTAGTTGGTGATTCTGAAGTCAGTGTGTACCGCTGCGACTTTCTTTCCCCACTCCCAAACTTGGCAATCTACAAATTGGCTAATGAAGGAAAAATAAGTAATCTCATGACGACGGTAGTAGACAGAAATGAAAATTGATATATACTTTTATTCTTGAGCTTGATTTTAAAAAGCAATCTCCATCCCACCAAGCTCTAAATGGCCGCCTCTCATTCCATCGGGGAAGGTGGAGAGCATGTTTGTGCAGACTGGCCTGGCCTTTGACAGATTTATTGACAAGACCCACTGGCTAGAGTAAGTACAGGGATGCATCATTTGTTGAGAAAGAGAAGAATATATACCACTGACTGGTTTCCAGGAGCTCATAAAACAGCCATTAGGCTTAGAAGATCATGTCTACAATGTATTAGTATCAGGAAGAAAGCATTAAAGGCATTTCTCAAGTTTAACGGAAAACAAAATTTCAAAAGCAAGGTGAGTTAGGCTGCCAGTGTCTGAAGTTGATGGAGATGCAGAGTCCCTTGACTTTGACAGGCTCTGCTCTGTGAACAGGGACTACACACTGCATGGCCTCCGTCACTTCGTTGTTTGTTGTCAGCTGAAAGGACAGAATGTTCAGGTAGCACTGTTCAGTTTCACGGGGGTGGGGGGAGTAAAGTGATAGGAAACTGACTTTTAGTTAATTTTGCACGGACATCTAGATCACAGTGGTGATAAGATGTTGTCTTTATAATACTTTAAAATAAATTTCTAAAAGATGAAAACTAAATATGAAAGCCCTGACATTATTGGATGGCGATAGAGGAAAGAACAATGGACACTGTCTATATGCTGAATCCACATGGAAAGGCTGTGCTGGAAGCCTAATTGCTTCTCAGCCTGAGTATTTAAACCTCTGGCCCCTAATGGAACACGAGTTAGTCTTAAGACTTAGTGTATTTTAGATTTAATTGGAGTCAAGGATATTTTTCTGAGATCCTCAACTTAAGAACTATTAGGAACTGTTTAACCTGAAAAAAAAAATACTTCTTGGAATCTCAATTTTCTCTTCTATAAATCAGGACAGTAATACTTAAATGTTAGGGATATAGTACAGAGTAAATTATAAAAAATACAGTGAAAATTACATTAATTAAGTACAAAGTGTGTTTTACAATGCCTAGCATATAATAAGTGCTCAATAAACATTACCTTACTTCCAGTTCTATTCACTTTCAATAGTACAAAAAAAAAAAAAAAAAACTCTTGCAGAAGGGATACAGTGCCAGGTTGTGTAAGGAGAAGATGCAGTTTGAGCTCTCTTGTTTGGGCAGCAGATTTCGTGAACCACCATCAGTCCTATAAACAGTCTCTGCACATCGCCTGCTAAAGTTGCTCATTGCATGGAAGGGATAATGAAGAAGCACCTGGCAGGCATGAGATTTGCCCACAGAGCATTAGCCATCTACTCCAATCCCTTGCAGATCCCAAAGCAAAGCATCCTGCTGTTGACTCCCAAAATGTCGGGCCTCTAAGCCAAAAATCAATGTATGAGTTGTTTCATTTCCCCTGGTAATTTACATCCATTTTCTTTACAAAGAGCAATGCTACTGGCTGCCAAAGAAACAAAGTGAAGGGGAATAAGAGACAGAAGGAAATAGCCAAATGGGAGCAGAGCTAAGGTAACCAAATAAACATCTCTCTTTACTGCCAAGATACTAAAAACATAACCCCAGCCAGCTTTGTTAGTTACCACCTTAGCCACATGGCTACATATTTGATGGAAACAGAGATCCAACAATGGAAAAATAAAAGCATTTCCCCACCAAATGAGTAGCTGGAAATGCATTTGAAGAATGGCATTGGGATGTTCCAGGCTCTCTCCATGCAACGCTAATCAAATTTACCCAGTTCACGTGTTTGGGGGCCATTTCTCTAACCACAGATGCTGCCAATTCCACCTGCAATCTAAAAACCCAGACTGCGCATTTGGTTCCTCAGTTCACCACAATAATAACTGAAACACCATTTTTCATGCCCTACAGAATGCAAACACAGCTGAATTGATCCACTTCAAATCTTCATAAACAATTCAACTGAGGATGAAAGCAGGTAAGACATTTCAAAGTGAGGATGTTTAGATGACCAGGGACATGGGGATGGTGGGTGTGTGTATGGGGAGAGGCACTTTTTAGCAGAGTTATTATTGGTTTAAAGCATAGCTGCTACTCTAATTTTAAAGTTTGTCAGGTATGCATTCTATATGGCTGCATGGGACGTCTTTTAGAACCAAATCCACTGCCTTCTGTAGTCTTTGGGGTGGCTACCATGCTAGCATATAGATGGCCCTCAGGCAGGTCTTATCAACTGCCTGTAGTCACCTGTTTAGCCTGAAGGCCCCACCAAAGTAAAACATCAGACACAGTTTGGAAGTCTGTGAATCAAATGGTTGAGGAAAGGGCAAGAAAGTCAGTAGATAACATGACCAAGTACAAGCCACAGGTCAGGGGTTAGGATGTCATGGGGGCAGGCAGAGGGGTCTTTGCAGGCATCTGGAGTCCAGCTCCAGACAACTTATCAATGGAGGTTTTATTCCTTTCTTGCAATACCCTGCCACACTTTCTGAAACTAATGATCGACTCCTTATTCTGTAAGGCCCAGCTCAAATTTTACTTAACTTGTCCTGAGCTCACCAGGTGGTTGTCTGCTCTCTTGGACACATCTTTACTAGGTATTATTTACTCTTTTATGTTTATAAAACTCCATCTTTATTATACAAGTAACACAAACACACACATCTGTGTGCACACACGCACATACAGTCACATGCCGCATAATGATGTTTTAGTCAAGGATGAACAGCATACACAACAGTGGTCCTACAAGATGAGAATGGAGCTGAAAAATTCCTATCCCTTATTGACTTCATAGTCATAACATCATAGCACAGTGCATTGCTAACATGTTTGTGGTGATGCTGGTGTAAACAAACTTACTGTGCTGCTTGTTGTATAAAGCTATAGCACAGACAATTAAGTATAGTACATAATACCTGATAATAAATGACTATGTTACTGGCTGATGTATTTACTATATTTTATTATTATTTTAGAGTATACTTTTATTTATTTGTTTTAAAAAGTGAACTGTATACAGCCTCAGACAGGTCCTTCAGGAGGTATTCCAGAAGAAAGCATTGTTATCATAGGAGATGTCAGCTCCATGCATGTTATTGCCCCTGAAGACCTTCCAGTGGGACAAGATGTGGAGGTGGAAGACAGTGATATTGATGATCCTGACCCTGTGTAGGCTTAGGCTAATGTGTGTGTTTGTGTCTTAGTTTTTAAGACAAAAGTTTAAAAAGTAAAAAAAAAAAAAAATTAAAAATTAAAAATTTTAAAAATAGAAAAAAGGCTGATAGAATAAGGATGTAAAGAAAAAATATTTTTGTATATCTGCAAAATGTGTTTTAAGCTAAATGTTATTACTTAACTGTGAAAAAGTTAAAAATCTTTCAGTTTATAAAGAGTTACAGTAAACTAAAATTAGTTAATAAAAAAAGAAAAATATTTTTAATAAATTTAGTGTAGCCTAAGTATAGTGTTTTTAAAGTCTACAGTAATGTCCCAGGCCTTCACATTCACTTACCACTCACTCACTCACCCAGAGCAACTTCCAGTCCTGCAAGTTCTATTCATGGTAAATGCCCTATACAGGTGTACCATTTTTTATCTTTCATACAGTATTTTTATTGTACTTCTTTCATGTTTAGATATATTTGGATGCCCAAATACTTTCCACTGTGTTACAGCTTCCCACAGTATTCAGTAGAGTAACATGCTGTATAGGATTGTAGCCCTAGGAGGAATAGGCTATAACATATAGCATGGGAGTATCGTAGGTTGTACCATCTAGGTTTGTGTGAGTGCACTCTATGATGTTTGCACAATGATGAAATGCCTTAATGATGCATTTATCAGAATATATTCTTGTCATTAAGTGACACCTGACTACACACACACACACACACACACACAGAGAGAGAGAGAGAGAGAGAGAGAGAGAGAGAGAGAGATTAAAGAGATTATTCACAGAGTATTATAATTATATATCTCTTCCCTTCACTAGACTATAAATTTTTTTTTATTTCCAACTCTTATCTTAGGTTCAGGGGTACATGTGCAGGATGTGCAGGTTTGTTACACAGGTAAACGTGTGCCATGGTGGTTTGCGGCACAGATCATCCATTCATAAGGTATTAAGCCCAGTATCCATATTCTTCCTGATTCTCTCCCTCCTCCCACCCCCCCAACCTCTGACAGGAATCCAGCAGCACATCAAAAAGCTAATCCACCACGAACAACAGACTTCATCCCTAGGATGCAAGGTTGGTTCAACATACACAAATCAATTAATGCGATTCATCATATAAACAGAACTAAAGACAAAAACTACATGGTTATCTCAATAGATGCAGAAAAGGCCTTTGATAAAATTCAACATCCTTCATGTTAAAAACTCTCAATAAACTAGGTATTAAAGGACCATATCTCAAAATAATAAGAGCCATATATGACAAACCCACAGCCAATATCATACTGAATGGGCAAAAGCTGGAAGCATTCTCTTTGAAAACTAGCACAAGACAAGGATGCCCTCTCTCACCACTCCTATTTAACATAGTATTGGAAGTTCTGGCCAGGGCAATCAGGCAAGAGAAAGAAATAAATGGTATTCAAATAGGAAGGGAGGATATCAAACTATCTTTGTTGGCAGATGACACAATCCTTTTTCTAGAAAACACCATCATCTCAGCCCAAAAGCTTCTTTAGCTGATAAGCAACTTCAGCAAATTCTCAGGATGCAAAATCAATGTGCAAAAAGCACAAGCATTCCTTTACACCAAGCTGAGAGCCAAATCATGAATGAACTCCCATTCACGATTGCCACAAAAAGAATAAAATATCTAGGAATACAGCTAATAAGGGAAGTGAAGGACCTCTTCAATGAGAACTACAAACCACTGCTCAAAGAAATCAGAGATGACACAAATAAATGGAAAAACATTCCATGGTCATGGAAAGGAGGCATCAATATTGTGAAAATGGCCGTACTGCCCAAAGCAATTTATAGATTCAATACTATTCCCATTAAACTATCATTGACATTCTTCACAGAATTAGACTATAAGGTTTCTGAAAGCAGGAACCATGTCTTGTAAACTGAGTACTAGACATGACACTGAACATTCACAAATAAACAAATCTCTGAATTAATAAATAAAGGTGTAGATTAATGTGCAGATAAGTAGCTGGTTTGTAAGCAAACAGAAAAAAAAGGAAGTGATTAGTTAGGTCCAGGATGTGTATCATAACGTAAAGTCAAGCCAAACAAATCTCCCTTCTTTTGTGACATGGTTACAAGATATTACATCAGTAGAGTTCCATACACAACCTAGATTTTGGCAAAGCAATAAATAGAATATTCTATCCTTAGGGAAATGATAGCAAATTATAAGCTGCCAAATAATTTTTTTAATAGATGAGTCTCAACCCTAAATGTGCTAATAGTATCCTGCGGAACTCTGTCATTTATTGTAGTTAACATTTTTATCAATTACTTGAATGAATGAATTACTTGAATGAAGATAAGAAGACATTTTATCAAACTTACTGATGGCACAAAGCCAGGAATGGCAGCTACTATGTTTCATAGCAGAATCAAGATGCAAAAAAAAAAAAAAAAAAAAGGCCTGACAGACTAAAGCATCAAGCTGAAATCAACAAGATGTTAAATATAAACTTATGGTTCAAATAATCAACAGAACGGGCAAAGAATAACCAAGACCTTGCTAGTTAGCAATTCGTCTATATGAATTATAAGTAATTACAAACACCATGTCTTTTTTTAAAAAAAAAAACACAGTAATAGTGCTGCTGCTTAAAGAAACTAATGCACAACTGAACCTCATCCTGAATCAAACAAAATTCTTCTTCACGATTGTATTAGTCAGGTTTTTCCAGAGAAATTCAACCCATAGAACATATATATAAATATGTGAATATATATACATATATGTACACACACATATATATAAGCGCATATATATATATATATATGCTTATTAAAAGGTATTGGCTTATGATATTAGAAAGGCCAAAAAGCCCCATCTGCAAGCTGGTGGTATAGTTTGAAGACCTGGAGAGCTGGGAGCTAATGGTGTTGATTCCAGTCAGAGTCTGAAGGCCTGAGAACCAGGAGCACTGAAGGCAGAACATCCATGTCTCAGCTCAAGCAGTCAGGCAGAGAGAGCTAATTCAATCCTCCTCTGCCTTTTCGTTCTGTTCAGGCCCTTAATGGATTGGACAGTACCCACCTACATAGAAGAGGGCCATCTACCAATTAAAGTTTAGCTCATCTCTTCTAGAAACATCCTCACAGACACACCCAGAAATAATGTTTTACTAACTATCTGGGCATCCCAGACCATCATGATGAGTGTGATCACCATTGGAATAGTACATCCAGTTCTGATTAGGAGGTCCACAGAACAGATGTCCTGGTTGTACCACTGAACAAGGCATAATCTCATCCTGCATCAACTCTGACCTGAAATCACCTCTCCAAGAAGAGCTTTGCCCTTACAAATCCACGCATGTGGTCGGGTAGGTTTTGAAGCCCATGATGACTGGTCTGAAGGAGGAGATCCTGCTGCTGATACCTTAATGTAAGGAGGGTGATATGGTTTGGCTGTGTCCCCACCCAAATCTCATTGTAGTTTCCATAATCCTCACATGACATGGGAGAGACCCAGTAGAAGGTAATTGAATCACGGGGGTGGCTATCCCCATGCTGCTATTCTTGTGATAGTGAGTGAATTCTCATACGGTCTAATAAGTTTATAAGGGGCTTCTCCCCCTTTTGCTCATTCTTCTTCTTCCTGCCGCCATGTGAAGAAGGACATGTTTGCTTCCCCTTCTGCCATGATTGTAAGTTTCCTGAGGCCTCCCCAGCCATGCTGAACTGTGAGTCAATTAAACCTCTTTCCTTTGTAAATTACCCAGTCTCAGTATATCTTTAGTAGCAGCATGATAACAAACTAATACAGAGGCATACGGAAAATGAGGAGGAAATGAGCCAAAAGGGCAGAGGGTAGAAACCAGGGGCCTGGGAGCCACAAAGCAGGGTGCTTGAATTGAAGACATGCAATTCAGGATGGAGGGGAATCACAATGCCATGGGCTCTCACATAGATCATTGGTTTTTATTGTAGATCCTAGGAAAGAAATCACAGAGCAAATTTCAGTAGTAGAGTGTTTTCTCCCTAAACCAACAGAACATCTTCAGCAGCATAGCGCCAATGTTCTTACATCTTTAAATAGTGGAGAAGAGCATTGAAAAAATGTTTTTCTTATTCAAAACCTTTCCCTGCCATCCATATGTTATTGTAAAGATGTGGCCTTTCTTGAGTCCCCCTTTCCATATACTCCTTTCCTCTCCACCTATCCCACTCACAGATATAAAGTAACAACAAGAAAATAGGCTGGGGATATAGGATCAAAAAAAAAAAATCAGACTTCAAAAAAGAGCTCTCACGTAAGGAATGAGAAAAACAGAATTCCTATCCTTGAGTTATAAAAATTGAAAGGGAAGGGGAATTTTGCAGACCCAGATACTGATGAAATGAAGAGAAAGACATCAAGTCTACACAAAAGGTAATAAAATATGTTATTTGTTTTTTGATAATGAAAAAGAAAATAAATCATTAAAATGACTGTCAGAATGCCTCAAGGAGAAGGGCATGGAATAGGACTTGGCTATAAATGTTGTGGACAGTAATAAAAGACTTGGTGTTGCTTCCTTAGCATTTGCCTGGGTTGAGCCTTCCTATTTCACACAGGAATCGCAGGCAATGGTAAAGTCAATCTGCTCCCGGGCACACATTATTGCCTTTCCATTCAGGCCTTATCTGAGAGTCCCAGAGTGGCTGCTCCCACCTGCAACCAGGTCCTATCTCACACTGACCCGACAGGACATGCTGTCAAACTGCCAGGGCTTCAGGATCACCACTTGTTTTATTTTCACAGCTACTAATTATTTCATACATGCCTGCTTATAAAACATTTATTTTTCTTAGTTCTCAGGATTCAAGATGAAGAAGATAAAGTTCCTGCCCCAAGAAGCTCTGTATAAAGTCTAAAGGGCCTGGGATTAATTCTGTGTTGTTTAATGATGTATTTCAAGTGCCTGAAGACAAAGAAAGGTGACAGAATAGCTGTTAGAATAGTGACTGTTGGTTTTATTTAAACCTAGGAAGGATTAGTTGGGAATTTGTAGAAAAAAGGTAGGATTTTCTATTAACCCACAAACTTACATTCAGCATTCTGCCTTGAGTACTTTCTTTTGATTTTCTACATGCCAGGTTTTCCCATAAACCATAATGTTTCAAAATACAGCTCCTACTCAAAGCTATGTGTCTCTAGATCTGTAATAAATATAAATATTAAGACTTTTGAAATAAACTAAACCTTGAAATGAACTGAACACACATGCCTATCAATATTGATTTCTATAACTACCCATACATCCAAATTTAATCCAGGACAATCCAGTCTCACATTTGTCTCCCAAATCAGGCACAACAGGACATAGCACAGAGAACAGAATATAGCACAGAGAACAGTGACGTGATAGAAGACAGATGGTATTTGTAAAATGGAAATGACTCCAGCTGCCTTTCAATAGTCCTCATCTATGATGGCATATGTCAAGTGTGAAAGCCCTCTCAGCACTGTCACAAGAACAAGGCCTGAAAAAAGGTTTACTAAAATCCCCCATGAATACTGAGTGGTTAACATGCAACATGACTATGAAATTACAAGCAAGAGGTACAGGCAAATAACTATCCATTTTCATAGCTGTATCTTTGCCCTTGTGATCAACCAGATTAGCTGTATCATTCTGTACTGACCATTAAGATGGCCACTTTTGGCAATACTGACCAATACAATTTTTCAAATAGAGACATGGCTGAAGACCTGGGCCTATGAAATATCTTTCCAGAAGGATCCACAGCTTCCATGTCCAAGGCACATTTATATAATTCATATTACTAAACAGAAACCTTGGCCCTAGACTCCCATTGCCTGGAGATTTTTATTCAGTGGAAACCAAAATGTACCAGCCTGGATGACTCAGGGGGAGTGGTAATGATGGGATGAGTAATCGTTCTCTTGAAGTTGCTAGTTAGGATAAGAACAGTTGTTCATTACCTGGCGGGACAGGTTTCTCAGGCTGGCAGGGAACAGAACAAATAAATCAATGTCGCTTTCCTCCCTAACATCTTAAAACCCTGTATTTAAAGTCTGCATTTCAGCTCACAACTCAAGGAAGACAATCCCCAGAACTATCCATCTGGCCTCTGGTGATAACAGGGATCGACTGATAGGTGAAAAATGGAAGAGAAGAGATTTGTAACTTCAGTTTCAGGAGAAAAATCCTATGGGAACACTAGCTGGTTGTCTCTCTTAGGTCACTCCCTTGGTTATTTTAGGAATCCCTTGTATACAACTAATGCAGTGTCTTTTTGAAACAAGCCAAACACATATGTTGACAAGGAACAGTAAAAGCCTCTAAAATGGCAGTCCAGTTTAAAGACTTGACAATTGAGAACCTTATCCCCTTCAAAGTCATGCTCCAATCAGACTACCAGAGTAACACTTCCTCCTGTTTAGTCAATCAGGACTACAAATGCCTGCCAGCTTTGCTTTTTAGTAGGTTTAGTTAATTAACATGAGTTTGCCTTTGGCTTTTGCTAACATTGCCTGTTTTGGGGAAGAGACATGTCCAAGAGAAGGACATGAGTGTGATGTGTGTGTTGAAGATGGACAGGTGAGAGACAGCTAGGTCTCTCACCTAGACCCCCAAGAGCGGGTCCATGCATGAATTAGGGTATTTCCTAATTAATCTGAATTAATCATTTCCTAATTAATCTGAATCTCCTTACCATTTCCATAGTGCATTACTCAAATTTACCCTTTTTGAGGGGATATGTTAAAATACAGTTTAATTACAAATGAAGCACTATTTAAAAACCTATAGAAAATACACTGATTTAATAGATGACAAGTAACTGTCTACATAATTGTTGCCCATTAGAGTTCTGTTAGATAATACCTAAATAGGCTCATACCATGTGTGATTTTGGCAACAATCTGTTTGGGTATACTGCTAAGGCCCCAAAGTAAACTTACAAAGACTTGACCACACACTTGATCAAAGAATACCTGAGGCTTAATGCAAAAGAGAAGCTAGGCCCCTATGATCAGAGTGTGTGCTGCAGGTTATATTATTGTCCAAACACATTCATTCATTGTCTATCTGGTGGCACCACACTGGTGGTTACATAGATCTGCCATCCAGGAATAACAACCTTTACCCTTTTTGTTCTAGCAAGACCTACATTCAGAGAACAGGCATGGGGAGCCACAGCTGATAGCAGACAGAACTCAATATTCACAGCTTAAATATGGAAATGACCATGGTGAGAACAGGCAAATCAGGCATGGGCTTGTCGTATTTAGACACAGAAGAGGTTTTCATCTCCATTCTAGAAAGACTTTCTAAGGATGAAATTTCAAGGGCAGGTTAAAGTTAAATTTGGAATGTGATGCTTTGGTTGGATTGTTGATAACAAGCTTTAAAGAAGGTGCCACTGAGGATTATGAGAACGTTGCTAAAGTGGCTGCTACTGTGGACTGGAACCTGACGGGCACATGTGCAAATGTGTAAATATGCCTTTAACCATTGAAAGCACCATCCCCAGCTCCTCTTCCTCACCAGGAACCAGCCTAGAGCAAGGTTCTTTTTTTTTTTTTTTTTTTTTTTTGAGACAGAGCCTCACTCTGTTGCCCAGGCTACAGTGCAGTGGTGCAATCTCTTGGCTCACTGCAAACTCCGCCTCCCCCGTTCTAGCAACTCTCCTGCCTCAGCCTCCTGAGTAGCTGAGACTACAGGCAAATGCCCCTGCGTCTGGCTAATTTTTGTATTTCTTGTAGAGATTGGGTTTTGACATGTTTGCCATGCTGGTCTTGAACTCCTGACCTCAAGTGATCCACTTGCCAAGGCCTTCCAAAGTTTACAGGCATGAGCCACCACACCTGGCCCAAAGGTCTTTTTAAAAAAACAAAAACAAAAACAAAAAACATAAAAAAACCTCTATGTTTATTATTGTTAAGCAATCATCGTCACTGCAAAGAAAAATATAAAAAGAAGGGGCTTCCACAGACTTTCAAGTATTGTCTTTCCTGCAACACTGGTCATAAAACCAACAAGAAAGGGGAGCAATTAAACCCAGAAATCCTAGGGTGAGTCAAAATTGCAGTGACTTAAAGGAATTGCCACATCTGAAACATCCTCTATGGTGATAAGGTGAATAAAACCTCCCTTTCAGGAAGGAGGATGACTTACTCATGCACGTGAGGACCCTGTGGTGAACCACAATTTTCTGAGCCTGCTCCCCCACTGTCCCAGAAGACCCAGCTGTCTCTCATCTATACCTCCCCACACACGTACCACACTCACATCCTTCTCCTGGGCACCACTAGTGCCCCAAAAAAGGCAATGTTAGCAAAAGCCAAAGGCAAACTCATGTTAATCAACCAAACCTCCTAAAAAGCAAAGCTGCAGGCTTTGGTAGTCCTGATTGACCAAGCAGGAGGCAGCAAAAAGGACAGTGGTAGGTTTGCCAGATATATCACAGAAAGCAATTAAGTTTATGGCAGGGAAAAAACAGCTCCAAAGCCCCCTGAAACAAAAGACGCTTCCTGCCTGTAGTCTGTCCTGGGCCATTCTGTCATAATGGCAGGCTGAGCTATTCAACTGCAGCAGCCAACAGTAAAATACTGTTTGGAGAGAGAACCAGCCCAATCTCGACTGCAGAGACCTGCCTGTCAGGTTTTCATTTCTATGCTAGGGGATAAACTGTCCCAGCTGGTTTGAATAAGAAACGAGGAAAGTGAGCATCCACAAGAGAAAAAAAAAAAACACTTAATGCAGAAGAGGATTATAAACTCTTCAAGATTAGTTGAAGGAAAAGATTATGAAGGTAACAGGGTTTCCACTGGTATGGGGAAAATAACCCTAGGATGTCGTGGTTGACAAGCAAGAAAGCTGTCCTGAGAAGTTTTTGGTGTGGGAAGGTGAGCAATGATGGAAGGGGCGGGGCAGTCTGCAGCTTGGGTCTCCCTAGTCCCCATCCTGTGATCTCTCCTCTCTGGTGGGACCATGCATGTCCAGATTGCCCATTTTCCAGCTCAGATTCTAGCTGGAGTCCATATTAGGGTGAACATGCAAATTCTCATGAGTGCAAAGTTGTAGCAAACACTCTCGGTAGCAATGCAACAGACATTGATGCCAACCTGAGCCCACATAAGACGATGAGGGTGTCAGAAGGAGGCCAGTTGTAGAGTCAAGAGACAAGGATGGGATTTAAGGGAGATAAGATGCTAGACAGCCAGAGTGACTTCCCTTAAGCCTTAGATTGGCAGTCTCTCCCCCACTCCATAGCTAAATGGAGAGTGAGATATGACCATCCTGGAGACGCAAGTCTAGTCCTGGCTCCTAAATGTGCCATGCCCCTCAAACAGAAAGGGTCCCTAATTTATAGATTAGAAAACTGAGGCACAGAGAGGTTAAGTAACTTCTTATTGTAACTCATATTGGTACTATGAGCCACTTTATTCATGGCTGCAAGGGTGACCTCAAAAATGTCAGCAAAATTTGTCATTTTTCTTAGATAAACCACCTGTTCTACCTGGACACTGGACTTAATTGAGTTCAACAAACCCTAGATTAAAAAGGCTATCAACCCACCCTTTCCTTGGGATAGTCCTTAAACAAAAAGCTAAATAAACACAACATTTTTTTCTTTGAGGCTAAGTCTTTCTGATTACTTGAAACCAAAAAATAAGAGGCTACCTGAAAGGTTATAGAGGGCGTTATTAAATATCCTCATTCTTCAAATGCCTGCCAACCAAAGAGAAGAATAAGAACCCTCTACCTCCACCCCTACCCCCAGGAAATACTGTTGGGCTCAGGAGAATTACTGTGTGTTCCATGGGATAATAAGTGTCTTTATTACATCTAATTAGGGTCTCCTATAATGTGACAGAACCATTTTTGGTCACTTGGGTGTACCCAGGAAGGCCTAGCAACCATCTCTAAATAGCCAATCCCCCTGTCTCTAGAAAAACCACACAGTCCAAGAGAGAACTCTGCTAGGAGTCAGAAAGATGTAATTTCCATTAACTTGAGAAGCATTAGGGTTAACATGCAGACTCTGAAGCCTGACCTCCTGGAGTGGAATCCCAGGTCTACGACTTAGCTGTATGACTTCGAGGGAAGTTGCTTAACCGCTCTGTGCCTCAGTTTTCTCACCTATAAGTTAGGGATAAAAATAACACCTATTCATAAGATTTTGTAATGACCAAATGAGTTATGATATCTAAAGGACTCCATATAGTGCTGGGCATATAGTAAAAACAATATTAGTGCCTGCTTGTGTTGTTATTAACTTTATTATATTCTTAGGTACATTACTGAAGACCTCCACTTTCCAGACTCCTCTCAGATGGGCTGACAAGACCATCCCTATTCCAGGATTTTTAAATGACAAAATAATTTTAAAGTAATTTCAGATTGCTTTTATAACAAAGTTAAGAGCCTGCAATAAATTTAAAATGGCCATGCATTCTTTGCAGCTACTCCAAGTTAGAGGTGGAGTCTATTTCCAATGCCCTCCCCTTGAATCTGGGCTGGTCCTATAGCTTTCTTTGACCAACAGAATGTGGCAGAAGAGAGGCTACGTAATTTCTGAGTTTAGGCTTCAAGCTTATAGTTTTTGCTCTTGTCCTCTTGCCAGAAAGTTCTGTCATGTCAAGGAGGCTGAGCTAGGCTATTGGAGGGGCAGACCATGTGGCAGAAATGAGTCATCTCAGCTGAGATCCCCTAGATCACCTAGCTCCAAGGTACCAGCTGAGCACAGGGGCATGAGTGACCCCAGGTGAAACTAACAGAAGAACCACCCAGCTGAGCCCAAATGGCAATATTAGCAAAAGTGCCCAAATTGCTGACCCACAGAATCATGAGCAAATTAAACAGCTGTTGTTTTAAGCCACTATGTATGAGGTGGTTTGTTGTGCAATAGATAACTGATGCAGAGCCCTCACTGATACAAATGAGGATTTATTATCAATAGTATTTCAAACACACACACATAAAACCAGGCCACTTGCCAGCAGGTTTACCAACCATCACAAGGTGTTTCCAAGCTCTTATATCACCCACCTAGGGCCAGTGAGGCAGCACATTCACTTGGAAAAAGCTAAGACCAATTAGTGATCAAATTTGGGAAGATGGAGGCAAGCTTTCAGCACCAAGGTAGGGTGCCAAGTTAGATCCTTGTAGAGGGATATCGTGGGAATACAGGATTTTGTTTGTTCCTTTTAGTCTGCAATAGAATACAAAGCCAGAAATGCCTGAATTTGGCTTCCTTGGAAGCAGTGTTATTCCACAGGTCTTGGATATTGCACAACAGTGTGGGTAGACACCTTCATGGCATGAGTCACAAAATTCAAGATCAGCATCACTAAGGGAGAATCAGGGGAGCCAGTCAGAACCAATCATGTCATATCCATGGTCCAGATATGTGGCTCCAAGAATGCAGGAAGCCCAGAATGCCTTCATTTTATTCTGCTGGTAAAAGCAAGTGAAGGACTTCAGGATATGCCACCCCAAAACACACTGTATTAGTATGATTATTTTGAGCTGAAGGCATTTGAAAAACAGCAAGTGCAGAGAGAGGCTTGCTCTGAGCTCCCCTTATCTGCCTAAAGACAGACAGATGCTCCAAAAGAAACTAGGTTGTCATCAATTCCCTCCACAGAAGTTTCATCAACCAGAGGAGATTAAATCTTATCACCGGTAAGGAAACTAGAACACACACCCCACCCAGACAAACTCTGTCACAAACTACCGTATCTCCGATCTATTCTTCTGAGGGCCCATTCATCTTCCCAAAAAATCATTTACTCTTCTCTTATTTGCCTACGTCCTTCCTCCTCTCTCTCTTACGAAGAGAATATATGAGCTCCTAAATCTGACTATGTCTTTGGATATTCACTTTCTTTCCTATGATGCACTCATGCATATAATAAATTTGCATACCTTTTCTCCTGTTAATCTGCCTGTTGTCAGTTTATTTCATAGACCCAATTGTTGACCCCCCAGGTTAGAGCAAAAGTCTTCCCTTCCCAAAACAAGAGAATGATTACATTCTAAGCTTTGATTTTACTGTGACCTAAGCAAAAGGTTACTTCACTCCAGGACACAGGGGGAAAAAATAGCAAGTTCCATAAATCAGTGTTCCCTCACCTGTAACCTGAGGGAAGAACTGATACCCAACTTTATAGGGAAATTACTCTGAAATATATGATGAGAGGATCTGGAGGCTTAAGTCCCCATTTGTTATAAACAAAGCTAACACATTGAAATGAAAACAATCTTACTCAATTATTTGATAAGCTGGACAGCCATGATGCTAAAGGTTCTTACACAAGCCCGGTAGCCTTTGTCTGTGCATTACTTGTTTGTTCTTCTGTTTGTTGATTTCATACCTTGTACTATCTATTTTGTGGGTATGTCAGCATGGAGGAAGAAGTTTGTTGAGGGTGCAGAGGCGGGAATGGCAAGAATTATATAAAAGTAAGACCCTCTCCTTCCAAGAGCTTACAGGTCTGATCATCTTGAAAAACAAAATTCCCTGCTTAAAGCATCTCAGAGTAACTCCACTGAGCTCAACCAAAATTGCTGCATCTATTGAAACTCCTCAGGTTATGAATCAAGAGAGTTCAGAAAACTCCTGACTGTGTGGAATTACAGAGCTGATGAGATGTTCACAGATGAAGATGCCATAAAATAAAGTAACTTACAGCTAGTTTTGGCACAGAGCTGAATCTGGGCTCCAGGCAAGCAGGACTCCTGCCCCACCCCCCACAGAGACCCCTCTCAAGATGCAAGGTATTTAAAATGTGAGGGGATGCAGGCACCCCACAATTCCAACCCAGTTGCCCAGAAAACAGAAATTAGCTATCACATATGGTGAGCAGAAACTCCGCACTTATCACGTAGGAGCAAGTCAAGGATATAACTTCTTGTGGAGTAGACTTAAGGCTCTCTAACCATACACATTTAATAGAGTACTCAGCAGCCATTAAAACAGGCAAAAGCGCAAGAAACGACTTGGTTACGTTTAAAGTTCAAAACTTAAGTACATAGAGACTATGTGAAAAAAGTAAATACAAAGGGGAAAACAACAGCAAAATACACTAAAGTGTTCATGACTACAACTGGCACCTTTTAAAATTGGGTGATTTTTACTCTTAATTCTTTCTGCTGTTCTCCATAGGCCAAATATGCTTTAACGATCTTGAACTACTTAAATGCTCTTGAATTTTTTGGCTACCTTCATGCAGAAGAGATAGCTAGAGTGTCAACAGTAGGTGGTGGTCAGGACAAAAGGGAATGCAAGCAGGGGTGAGTGTGGACATCGAGTAAAGCACAGCCGTAAATACTCCACATGGGTTGGCCCCATTCAGTGCTGTTCAATGGGTTACATTCCAGTTCTGCCACCTTTTAGCTTGTCTAACTTTGGGCAACTTACCTAATCTCTTAGGTAAGCCTCAGTTTCCTCAACTATAAAAGGTGGATATTAATAGACCCTTCCTTACAGGAATGCTGTGCAGATTGAGTGAGAGAATGCATGCAAAATGCTTAGGGTGTTGCCTGGTAGACAGTAAGAACAAACAAATGTTACCTGTAGTGATGGTGGTGATAGAGATGGTTAATAATAGAGTTACATTTTATCACCACGGTGATCATGATGATGATGATCCTGACACTGTTTAACACTGTTACTAACAATGAATTACGTTTCCTTGCTTTGGAAAATGACCCAATGTTCCCATATGTCTTATGACTAGACCGTCATTCCTCTGATCCTCAAGTCCTCTGGGTTTCTTACTAGCAGATTCTTAAGTTGAAGTTACAGCTCACATTCCACCCAATATGCCCCGGGGAAAAGAGTGATGATAATATATAAATTCCTGCTTGTTGTCTTGGGCCTTATTAGGGTCATAAAATGTTATCCATTTAGAAAGGCATCTTAGTAGATATTTTACAGAATTCTGCTTTGTACTTGAAACATATAATTATCATTAACAAACACAGGTGCTAATAATTCAATCTGCTCTTTAGGCAAGAAACAGGAACATAAACATGGCCCTGGCCAGATCAGCTCATAATCTTAAGCAATTTCCTTTGCATGTTTCCTCCCTCTCTTCCAGCCATCAGATGCAAAGTGGGAGGCCTGTTTGACAGGCAGAAGGCCTCTGGGCTGGTAGTTGATAGCCTTGATAGCCAAGAAGAAGACCATGAGACAACCAGGCCCAGTCCCCGAAGCCTCACACAGGCATTCCTTGGCATTTGCCACCTGCCCTCAGAAAAACCAAACCTCTGATTTGATGTCTTCACCTAAAAAAATGGAATCAGGCCTGACACACTAACCTGGTCAGCCTGCGCAGTAAGCACCACACCTAAAACCAAAAGACAAAATGCATCAAGTAAAAAGCAATCATCAATTAAACACATAACTTTCAATGTGCCCACGTCCATCTATGCTGTCTCTCTTCTTTGTTGGGGTAACACTCTCGTCCTGTTTTAGATCAGTAAATATTTTCTAAGGCTTAACATGCAAAGATTCTGTAACTACAAATGCTCAATAATTAGTGCACACATGTTCTAAGTGTATTCGGCAATGTATTTCACTTAATGCAGACACTTTTGAACATTGCTCCACACCCCCGACGCACCCCCATCTGTCACTGAGAAGATTACTCTGAGGAAGTTCTCTTTCAATTGACCAAATTAGCTTCTGTGGTAAGCAGAGAAGTCTTTGATCTACCAACCATTCGCTGAGCATGGGGACTCCCCTTTTTGGTTCACCAGAATTGTAACTTAAGCACAAGCCAGGCTTCCAAACCGCAGGATCACAGTGAGCAGTGAGGGCTTAGGATGGGAAACCTGGCAAACTGCCAAGGAGATGGGAAAAACACAGGGTCCCGGGACTTTCAGGAGTCCATTCCCAACAACTTAACCAGAGCTCCCAAATGAAAAGCCGAGGGCTGTTGTAACAGCTGCCATTCTTACCTTGAGAAGGAGAATGTGGTTGTCAGGCTCCTCTCTGGAACAGTGAAAAGGTTTGCACTCAGAGTAATCAGCCTACCAGAGATAAAAAAAGATAAGGAAAGAGCCACTGCTGACGATGAGTAACGTTCTTGAACAACTGGAATGTTTTCTAACAAAAGGCAGGTTTCTGGATGTTTGGAGATGTTTCAGAATAGAACAGCAATACAGTCAATTGAACAATATCAAATGCATGAAATCCCTGGAATCAAGTCAAGGTGGGGCCATTAACATTACAGAGAGTGTGAGCTAGCGTTTTATTAACACACACCTGGGCCCCATCTAATTAAGAATGGTAATAATTGGTGAAATCATACACCTCATCACATCCCTCCACAAAAATGGCTGCTTACCAAAGAGCTGGCAGAACTCTCTACAACACTGGCATATATCAGGGTATTTGGCAGGCCGTAGCATTCACACATTCAACACATCCACAATGAAGACTCTGTGCCATTTAACCTGGTTTGGAAGACAGCCCTACCAGCTGATGAAATAATGACAACATGAGTCTTGAACCCAGATGAGGAGGTGGGAGGGAACTGGAATGTTTCCCTATATGCATTCAAATGAGCAAATATAAAAGACAAAAATTATGCCCAATTTTAAGAAAATTCTATTATATATTTATACCTTTTTTTTTGGTAAGAGATGGGATCTCACTCTGGCCCAGGCTAGAATACAATGGTATGATCATAGCTCACTGTAGTCTCAAATTCTTGGGCTCAAGCGATCCTCCCATCTTAGCCTCTTGAGTAGTTGGGACTTCAGGCATGTACCACCACACCTGACTAATGTGATAGCTAATTTTATACATCAACTTGGCTAGGCTATGGTGGCCCGCTGTTTGGTCAGACATCAGTCCATGCCAAGAAGGTATTTTTTATATGTGATTAGCATTTAAATCAGTAGCTTTTGAATAAAGCAAATTACCTTTCATAATGTGAGTGAGCCTTATTTGATCAGTCGAGGCTTTAAGAAAAAAGACTGAGGTCCCCCAAGAAGAAATTTTGCCTCCAGCCTCTCTTTGGACTCAAGATTGCAACAATAACTCTTCCTTGGATCTCCAACCTGGTAGCCTGCCCTATGAATCTCATACTTGCCAAGCCCCACAATTGTATGAGAAAATTCCTTAAAATAAATCCCCTTGCCCCTACTCTCTCTCTCTTTCTATACACACACACACACACACACACACACACACACACACGCACACATATGCTCTCTCGGGCAGGGTTCTCTGAAGAACCCTAATTAGTACTAGTATGCCATCTAATTTCAAAAAAGAATGAGTTCATTTACAAAACATATATACTATGTAGAGAAGACAACATAAAAAGAGGCTGTAAGAACATGAGAAAAAGTCCACAGAAATGTATGTTGTAAGGTAATTATTACTTGATGTGGTTCAAAAATTAGGCTCTGAGCATGCTAGTAGCCAAAGCAAAGAAGAAAATAGACACACTATGGTCACATTGAACAAAATATAAAATACCATACACATACTCCTCAAGAGTGTTAGCTTTGTGTCATTGAGAAATTTCTTCCAAGGTGTTAACCTTCCCTACCTCAAAGGATCCTTTATCATCCACATTTGGGGAGGAAGAGGAGAGTAATTAATTAACAATGTCTCTAAGTATACACAGTAGGGAGTCTCCTATAATGTCTTCTTACTGCATCCCACAACATGAAATACGACACCAAAGTACAACACACTAAAGTGATCTGGCAAGGAAAAAAAAACATAAAAATCTGATTATCTGGCCTGATCCAGGGATAAAAGTTAGAATTTCTGGAAAAACTAATGAACTCCATATCCTTTGAGTTATTTCCCATAAATGTTATTATTTCTTCCAATAAAAAGTTGGGTAGGAATTGGGCTACAACTGTCTGAGACTACAGTCCTGGCAACAGCCTGGAGTAGAAGTTTTCTCTATTGCTGATTAGTAGGAAATCCATAGAAAAACTGCCCTCAGGCAGGTTTTTAAGCTCAAGTAATATATGTCTAAGGAATACAAAGTTTAAATTTTATATGTTTGTATGTGTATAAGTCTCAAATATGCTTTCTGCATTGGAATCAATATTTTAAAACTTTTTTATTATGGTAAAACGAGCATAATGAAAAGTTTATCATTTTAACCATTTTTAAAGTGTCTAATTCAGTGGCATTCAGTACATTCACAGTGTTGTATAACCATCACCATGATCCATTCCCATAACTTTTTTGTCGTCTGAAACAGAAACTTTGTACCCTTTAAATGCTAATTCCCCATTTCCTCTACCCTCAGCCCCTGGTAACCTCTATTCTACCTTCTGTCTCTTTGAGTTTGACTATTCTAGGTACGTCATATAAATGGAATCATACAATATTTATCCTTTCTTGTGTCTGGCTTATTTTACTTAACACATTGTTTTCAAGTTTCATCCATGTGGTAGTATGTATCAGAATATCATTCCTTTTTATGGCTGAATAATATTCCATTGTAAGTATATACCACATTTTGTTTACCCTGGAATCAATTTTTATATAGTTAATTCACCGAGTAATTATAGAGTACTTACGGTGTGAAAAGTCTTTTTAAAATATTAGCTACATTCTTAAGAACCATATGTAAGAGGTAGAAGAGTTACTCCACAAGAAACCAGTTAATTATACAAATCCTAGTTTCAGAATCAGTAGTAGCAGCAAGAAAACAAAAGTCTGTTAAATAGTTTTTCTTCCCTAAGGGTTTGGTAAATCTCCCCACCCCAATCTTAATTAATGTTCTTCATATTTAAAGCTGAAGCGAGACTACAATATCCCCTGCTACGTGTAACTCTTCATACCATGTGGCTAAAGCTTAGAATGTGTCATTCCTGACCCCCGACCCAGTGATAATGAGCTTCTGTCAAAAAGCTGATGTCAAGAAGTCAGATACTGCAGTAACCTGAAGCATCGGTTTCTATCCCCGCAGGTAAAATATCACCCAAAAGTTTTTCATTTCTAGGGTATATAAATAAGGTAACCAGGCTTCCGTGTGCAAACATAGGTCCTCAGAAGAACACAGCTCTCAGCAAGAGAATCTAATAGTTGAAAGAAAAGGGGAGAGGCTCCACTGCTGGTCTTCACCTTCAACGTGTATGGAAGAGCAGATGGCATGAAGCAGGCATGTCAATGCACACCCGAGTTCACAAAGCTGGCACAGTGTGAGTCATCAAAAGATGTCCAGAGAAAGTCAACAAAAAACAACCATTTTTGCACACTGGCAAGGGAATTGCAAGCAAAATCAATAGCCATAAAGGATTCAGGCCACTTTGTTCAGCATAAACGTCTCAGCTGGGAGGATCTGCTGTCATCGCAGATTGTTAGCACTTGGCTGAGTTGAAGTTCATTCACTACTTTTGTGTTCAGTTAGTTGGGAACATGTCATTTAAACAACAAAAGCTCTTGTAGAAAACTATAGAGAATTAAGTCTTGAGTTCCTCCTGTGTGTTTTTAGACTGACTTCTAGAGCAATAGGTTTTTTTTTAAAGACAAAATGAATACTGTTAAGATTGTTCTTTTTAGTATATAAGTAAGCAGTCCTTTGCCTCTAAAACAGGAGACATTCCCATAGGCTGCAGAAGCCGGCCCCCGACAGGCTGAAACTAGGATGCTAATACAAAGGATCTCAAGCTAGCCTAATCAGGAGCCCTCAGAATGAAAAAGGCACTCAGCTCTCTGTCCGAAGTAATTACTTACCCCATCTCAGGACATCAGTAATACACATTCTGGATAGATGAGACGCAAAATTTGAGAGCTAAACTTTTAACTGTGAATACCATTCCTACCCTCCAAGTGTGATTAAGTTAATTCAGGCCTTTCTGATGTACAACCACACCCCCACTTCCCCTAAAATAGTCCCATTAGCCTGAATCCAATTCTCAAAGGTAAGAACCCCAATAAGGCAATCAAGTTTTATCAGTTATGAAATTGAACTTGAATTTGTAGAATGACAATTCCCTTCTGTTGTGGGCTGAACTGTGTACCCCAACCACACCACACCAGATTCATATGTTGAGGTCCTAATCCCTAGTACCTCAGAATGTGATGTATCTGGAGAGTCTTAAGAGGTAATTAATTTAAAATGAGGTCATATGGGTAGGCCCTAATCCAATCCAATAGGTGACTGGTGACCTTATAAGAAGAAATCGGGACACGTACATACAGATGGAAGAAAATAGGAAGACACAGGGAGAAGACCATCCACAGGCTATGCAGACAGGCCTCAGAAAGACCCAACCTTGCTGACACCTTGATTTTGAACTTCCAGCCTCCAGAAGTGTGAGAAAACAAATTTCTCTTGTTTAAGCCACATCATCTGTGGTGCTTTGTTATGGAAGGCTGAGCTAAGACACCTCCCCTTAATCTTTCCCCTCCAGGATTGCCAGGATTCCCAGGGAAAAGTCTGGAAAGGTCACGGGGACACTCTGTGACCTACTCAAGGACCTCACTGTCATTCATTCCCTTATCCCCAAGCAGGGTAATCTCTAAATCCAAAGAAAGTCACAAACAGGAACACCTCATAAACTTCCTGAAGATCCCGACTCTGAAACAGGAGACCACTGCCTTCCCCATGCCCTCTGATCACCATAGCATGACACCATTCTGCACCCTTCTCAAATGCTCTGTGCTGACTAGAGGTTCCACTGCAAACAGCATCTTTGGGATGCTGTTTCCAGAAATCATGTCCTCATTTCTCTTACTTGACACCCAGGCTGGCTCAGATGCCTTAACCAATCACAATTTCCTCTCTTTCTGAAAAGAAAAGGAAGAGTAGGGGTAAAAATCCTTGCACATTACAGAAGCAAGTCCAGAGTAAGAGATTACCAGCAACAAAAAGACTTCCAGTTGCCTCAAGGCTTGATTCATAAATAATCGCTTTTTCCTTCACTGGAAGAGTTCACACAGGAGAAGTGATTGATGTCCTTTGTTAGTGCTGAGAGGCATGAACACCATAGTTTAATTTCTACAGCCTCCACAGACAATGTTTGACCTATAGCATAGGCAGGCATTAGGCCTGACTCCCAATCCTGTGGCTCAAAGGGGATTGCAGTGTATTCAGAGGGAGAGCAAAATAAAATGGACTGTTGGGAGGCAAGTCACAAGTGACAGTGGTAGAATGAGGGATCACTTAGCCTGTCCTCATGTTCCAGATCCATTAGACTCCCTGGTCTTGCTCACCAGCCTCCGGACAAAGCCAATACAAGCTGAGTGCAGCTTTGCCCAGAAGTATCCACAAATGAATATGAAATTTCCTTTGCTATTAGAAGTAATGCCCTGCAGCACTCCCTGGGGCAGCAAACAAGGCCCTTGGTTCTCTCCAGGCTGCAGTGATGGGCTGGGAGTTCTTGTCCAGGGCACATTCCAGCCGCAGGGCAATACTGACACTTGCACCTGCCAAGTTTCAGCAGTGGAAGGAAAAGGAGAGGGCCTGATGCAATTGGCCAGGTGAATAGAGAACTTGTCAAACCATTTAGATAAGACAGTCCATGAATGCTTTCAGTTCCCATAACCAGAGGGTGATTGTGCTTCTGCCTGCTGCTGATTCTGCGGGCTGCAGAGCATTTTCCTAGCAAGGAAGGGAGAAGCAAAAGGATGATTTCTCAGCCTGTAAGTTCCAGGGCTCTTGTGGTAATTCAGCATGCATCATGCCTCAAGCAAAGAGGTAATTTTACTTTAAGGGATCAAGGAACATACCCTTGACACTGAGTGACTTTGTAACAGAATCTCAAACTCGATGGTAAATTTTTTAAAAAATTCAAGTATCCAATTAATAAAAAAGAAACAAAGCTTCCATATGCAGTTCAATATTCCTTACTTCCCTTATCAATTGGTTATGTATTAGCTTTACTAAATGGTTTTGTTTCAATTATTGGATTGTGAGTATTTCGCGAGTCCATATGGAATCATATTATCTTGTATCTCTTTCGGTCCCTAGCATATAGCATTGGACACAAAATAGAAACTCAGTGAATGCTCAATTACTGATTGCTTCTTGCTTTTGAAATAGTTTTTCCTGTAGGGAAGCAAATCTACTGTACCTGTCTCATTTTTCAATAACACCACTCCGCCACTCTCCCCACACCACCCCACCCCACCCCATCCCCATCACCAAATGTTGCCAACATCAGCAACAGGATATTCTCAATGAATATCTATCTTTTCAGTGGATCACATAAAATAACAAAAGTTTAGGATGGAGCTGGTTGGTAAATTCTTGTGCTGTATGTTTAAATCTGAACATAATCTGAATTAGTTTCCTAGGTCTGCTATAATAAATTACAAAAAAAAATGGTGGCTTAAAACAACATAAATCGATTCTCACATTTCTGAAGGGCCAGAAGGCCATAGTCAAAGATGCTGGCAGGGTTGGTTCACTCTGGAGGCTCTGAGGAAGGTGTGTTCCAGCCCTCTCTCCTCCTAGTTTCTGGTAGTTCTAGCAATCATTGCCATGCTTTGGCTGCATAACTCCAATCTCTGCCTTTTCTTCACATGCCCTTCCCCTTGTGTCTGTGTGTTCCTTCCTTTCTCTTATAAGGATAACAGTCATTGGACCTAGAGTCCACATTCAATCCAGGATGAGCTCATCCTGAGATTCTTAATTACATCTGCAAAGGTACTAGGGGTTGGAACTTGGATTTTTTTGGGGGGTGGGGGGATGGGGGAAATACAAATCCACTATAATATTCAAAATGAGAAGACATCATCTTTACCACAAAACTCCATCTTCTTCCCCATTCTCTTCATTATTAGAATCACCATCCTCCTAGTCAGGAGCCAGGCTGAATTCTTGAGTCATCTTCAAGGGCTCTCACCTTGTTGCTCCCCAATGCCAATAAATTCCATAATCCACAGTAATGAAGGACAAGTGCATCAGCTGTGCCCTGCAAAAGTTATCATGTCTGTCCTCTCTTTTCCATGCCTGCCGTCACGATCACCCTGGCCCCAGCTTGGATCACCTGTCTTGGACCAGGTAAAGACTTCTTCTTTTTTTTTTTTCTTTTGAGACAGAGTCTCACTCTGTTGCCAGGCTGGAGTGCAGTGGCACGATCTCGGCTCACTGCAATCTCCGCCTCCTGGGTTCAAGTGATTCCCCTGCTTCAGCCTCCCGAGTAGCTGGAGCTACAGGAACGCACCATCATGCCTGGCTAATTTTTTGTATTTTAGTAGAGACCGTGTTTCATGATGTTGGCCAGGATGGTCTCAATCTCCTGATCTCGTGATTCGCCCGCCTCGGCCTCCCAAAGTGATGGGATTACAGGCATGAGCCACCGCGCCCAGCCAAGACTTCTTCTTAACTATTCTCCCAGTTTCCTTTACTGATCATACCACATGTCTGCCTTAAACAGATCCTGACCATCCCACGACACTGTCCACAAGCTTTCAGTGGCATTGAACCAAATAAAACCCAATCTATTTACAACCAAGCACCCAGGTCCACTAGAATGGGTCCCAAATCCCTCTCCCAAGCTTATTTTCCACTGCCGTCCTCCATTTGGTCCAAGCCCTGGTCAAAACAGATTACTGACTGTCCTTAAATAGAGCCTCCAAGTCTTAGAGGACTCTGCCTGGGATTTATTCATTAATTCAAGAAGCCCTTATCTCAACCCGTGTGCCTTGTTAATATCTTACACAGAAAAGCCCAGCTCAAAACAACTTACCTATAAGACCCTGTTCAGCTTTTATCAACCACACTGGATTCCTCCTTTTAAAATTTAACAGCATGCTTGACAGATTAGGGAGTCTTGTTTTCCCCTTCCTTAGGGTACTTACTGCTCCATTAGGGGACTTAGTGCTTCCTTAGAGCACTTGCCATAAGCCTCATGGCAGAATATAGATGGAACTGTTACCCACTGCAATGCCCAGGTGACTTAGCTGGACCCCTACCCCACTTTTGTTGCCCAATGCAATGTTTATGCAACATAGCTAAATTCCTACTGAGCTTTAACCCTGCTTATTTTTAGGAAACAGGATGTCTGTGGTCAGAAGTTCCTTCTTAGGCAGCTTACTCAACCTCTGAAGAAACTCTAGCTTCATTATAATCCAATTTCCATACTGAATGACACTCCCACCAGTGCCAAGACAGTTGACAATTACCATGGCAATGACTGCATGAGACCAAGAGAGGATAAAATAAAGGAAACTCTTTGATTCCTAGAAAATCTTTATCCCTTTCTAAGAAAAAGCATGAATATGCCTCCCATTGTCCTTAACGCCCAGCCCCTTCATTAAGGATGCCCTACGTCTGTAACTTCCCAGTTCTTAGCAACCAAGAAGTTGATTTGTGAGCTACATTCCCACTTGTCCAATTCCATAGCCATTGACTAAAGCCTGCAGCGCTTGACACTCACTTTTGGTTTTGTGTGTTGGCTTCATGAAAATGAATAGGAAAGAGCCCCTTTCTGGGGTAACCAGGACCCCAGGTAACAGAACTCTGCTTTAGTTACGTACATACCCCATGATCTAGCACAGGGCCTTGCATATGACATGTACTCATAAATATTTGATCAATAAAAGATATATAGAATAGGTGAATAATACAATCCTTGTGTTTAAGGAGCCTGCGTTTGGTGATAGGGGATAATGAGATAAGCATAAAAGTGAATAACAATGACCTATACCATAATATTCTAAGTATCATAAAAGAAACATAAAAGAAATTCTGTAGGCAGCACAGAAAAGAAAGCTTTTGAAAAGAGAGGAGTTTTATGAAGGAGGTAGAACTTAAAATAGATCTTGAGGAAAAACAATATTTTGATGAGCAAATGTCGGAGAGTGAGGGAAAAGAGTTAAATACAGAACCAAAAGCATCTGTAAAAAGCACAGAATGGTGAGTAGTGGAAGGCAAGGCTAGAAAGTGAGGCCAGCATCTGGAATATCACAATAAGGAATTTGAAATTGAGTCTACAGGAGATGGGAGCCATGGAAGGCTTTGGAGCTGAGGTGTGATATAGCCTCATCTGCATTTTCAGATGATCATTTACACAGCACCGCAGAAACCAAGCTGGGATGTACATCAGAATCACCTGGAGAGTTTCCAAATTGCTTAATATATACAGAAAAGTACAAATAACAATACAACACTTCTCCATTCTCCAACAGCTTGCTAACAACACACCCAGAAGCAAGCTAACTTGTTCTATAGAATCCCTGAGGAGTTTGGCACCTAAGGACATCCATCGGCAAAAAGGCAGCGGTGAATCTTAGGTTGAAAACAAGGTGATTTTTAAAAAGTAGACAGAATAACTTAGACCTCCAGAGCATCTCCTGAGCCCTATATGGCATGGCACTGATCCTACGGAAGACTACAGCTTCCTCATTTGGAAAAATTTAACTGGAGAGTTCTCTGGACTTGAAAGCATCAGGCAAAATGGAGCAGTGGATAAAGTATGAGACTGAGAACTGGGAGATTCAGCCACAGTCTGAATACTGAAGCACCCTGCACCTATAACAGCTGCAGAAACACAGGCCTTCTCCCTGTGTCCTCCTTCACACCCGGCCTCCCTCCTCCAGGAGACTGGAGAATTCTTCTCCGGAGAAACTACAGTGCCCCAGAGGACACCATATATACCCACCACCCAGCGCCTACAGGAGAGCCCCACCCATTCATACTGAACTTTCAGCTTAAAGACAGCCCAGGATCACCAGACATTGGAGGCAAACCTCCCACGTGAAAAAGTGGGGCCAAAAATAACAAACAATACATTGACCTCAGAGACAATAAGGAATACAAAAACTGTATTTTTTTCTCAAAAGATAAAAATGTCATCGGGTTATTGTTTTACAGATGCAATATTTCTTTGTAAAAAGAATAATGAGAATAGGGTAGGACTCTTAGAAGTAAAAAGAAGTTATTAGAAAATTTAAAAAAATCAGTAGAAGGGTTAAAGATGAAGTCAAAGAAATCTTTCAGAAAGTAGAAATATTTGTGAAGGGAAATGATAAAGGCACAGAAGATCAGTACACGAGCCAAATGAGTTCTAGAAATAAACAAAGGGAAGAAAAATACAAGGAAAGAAATAATCAAATAAATATATATTTTTAATTTTTTACGACTAAAGTACATGAGTCTCCAGTTTGAAAGGGCTGAGAGAAGGCCCAGCAAAATGAATGAAAAAATACATGTACATTATTGTGAAATTTCAGAACCAGAGAAAATGCTAAAAGTTTCTGGAGAAGAAGGGGAAAAAATTACAAATAAAAGATCACAAACCAAAATGACATCAGACTTTTCCACAGCCACATATATAGAAAAGCATGGAAAGTAACTATAAAATCCTAAAAACAAACAAACAAACAAACAATTTCACTCTTTGTTCAACCCTTAAACTTGAGAGATAATTTTGCTGATACAGAATTAAAGACACTTTTATATATGCAAAGGATCAAGAATTTGACTTCCTATTAAAAGATGCACATGAAGAAATCAGAGGGTGTGCACCAGCAAAACAAACGAGTAAGCAAAGAAAGAGGATGATGGATTCAGAAAACAAGAATATCAGAACAAAGAACCACCACAAAGGGAAATAGCAATACAACAGCTCCACACCAAGCATACAGAGCAACCCATCCACATTAACGCAAGAAGATTCAGGGCTCCAAGCTGCTTATAGCAATGAGGTTTACATATGCTCAGTCAATAATAACCTCTAGGTACAGTGAGAAGATATACAAGAAGGGAGTAGGTGATCACAGTACATGTTGGGTAAGCAGTGGCAAAATTGCAGAATCATAATAATGTCAATTGTTACCACTAATTTAACTAGAGCCTTTTGATATAACAAAAGGTCATAGATAACATCCCAAACTGATAAGACAAGAAAGAGTGGTATACGCATGTTATTTAGAAATGCAGAGGTCAATACCAAAAGAAACAGCTACAACAATAAAGGAAGGTGGTCTCTACAGAGCAGGACTAAAGGATGTGGATCATAAGGCTTCTATTATATGCCCTTTAGAGGTTGCATGGAGATAAAGAAAGGGGAAGGATTGATTCATGGATACTTTCTGAGGATAGACGATATGAAGGAAAGTTCAAGATGTTCTTCTACAGTTAGAAGTAGGGGAGGTTATACACAGGGAATGAAGCAGGGTCGGGGAGGGTGAGAAAAGAATTTAATCAAGGAACACACGTTATGGTGCATGTGATACATTCTTGTTTCTTGTGCAGAAGTCTTCCCTGGCCGCTTGGAATATAAATTCCTCAAAGGCAGGTACTTCCTTTGTATCTTTTACAGGGATTTGCATTCAGTAGTAATTTTAAAAATCTAAGTTGAATGTTTGAAAAATCAGCTAAGATGAATAGGGCCAGCAATTACTATGCAGACAGGACATAGGGGTGTGCGTGTGTGTGTGTGTGTAGGATTTGAGTACAGGAGGAGACTAATTTATGCTCAATAAACTATGAATGAAAGAAAAATAGCATACAAAATCACACACAAAATTAACTCTTGGAAATCTTTCAAGAGAGCTTAGTTTCTTGGTTCGGGCTCTGTTTTTACCTGTAAATGAAGAAAATAACATGTGAAGACACATAAATGTTCAAGTTCTTTCTATTAGGTTGGTGCAAAAGTAATTGCAGTTTTGCCATTACTTTTAATGGTGAAAACTGCAATTATTTTTTCATCAACCTAATAGAACTCTGGTCATTCTTGCGTAACTCCAAATGCCTGGAATGTTCTTCCTCCCCGCACCCCTTGTCAATGTATCCTTCAGGTTTCAGGTTAGCTGCTTTCTTAGAGGTCTTTCCATGCCCCCTTCTGCTTCGGTTAGTTCCCTGGGTACTCTCCCTCGTACACAGCACTCACCACCTCTTCACAGCACTTAGCATCATTTCCAGGTATGTATTTGATTCAGTGTTGCAGCTACTGTTTGCTCAATAAGACTGCAGGCTGTAGAAGTCTGTAAAACACTTGTTCGTCCACTGTCCCATAATCCTACTCTTTGCAGTCAGCCAAGCACTCGTGTCACACCTGTGAGCCATTGCATCCAGCCTTCCTCAGCACTGCCCTCAACAAGAGGAGGCAAACTGGCAATCTAGAGGGCACAGAGAGGGGTTTAATTTGGCCAGCACAGTTTTTTAAATGGAAAAATTCACACTAAAGTCTATATTTCTAACTTCTACTGAAAAAGCAAAAGGGCTGGCCATTTCTGACTTACGTGATAACACCACACGTCTGGAAACTAGAGTGAGAAAAGAGACAGGCCAAAAATGTATGAGCCTGGACATCCCTCTAAGGAGATGGTTCAGAGCTACTATGAATTTGCAAAAGGTCCATGAGCCAAAAAGAGGTTAAGAGCCTTGAAACAGCCCCTCTTCCTTCCCCAGCATTTTATGATCTTCTAAGTGTTTTGCCCTCTGCTCCCCCAACATCTGTAGTTTGGCAAAGATCCGAATTTCACTCCTTTAATCTCTTGTCAGTCACTCCCTCCAGCCCTTAATCACTTTTATGACTTTCCTAAAAGCCTCCAATTTGTCCAAATCCAACTGTGAAGTCCTGCATTTCTTTTCCCTGGGAAGATGTAACACAGTTTAGAATTACTAAGCAAGGGTTCACCTAAAAGCTTTTAGAAGAAATATCCAAGATTTGACATGTTAAATCAATTTTCACATGCAGCTGCTCAATTCAGAAAGGAAAATGCAGGGCATTCCATAGAACAGGAGGCACTGGAATATTGCATAGAGATATTTCCTTTGCCTGATTGTGTACTGAATTGACAGGCAAATGGGTCAAGAGAAACTTGTTCCTACAGCCATCTTGAAATATCCTGAAAACAGAAGAAGAATGGAAACTACCCATAGCTCAGAACACATGACTACCATCATCTCTGACTATACACACACACACACACACACACACACACACACACAGGCCCATGTGCATAAATTTGCAATCAGCCAATCAGCCAAGCCTGCCCTACTCAATCTTGAAGCTTCTTATAGTCACACCAAAGCATCACACAAGGCTGGGCGCAGTGGCTCACACCTATAATCCCAGCACTTTGGGAGGCCAAGATGAGTGCATCACCTGTGGTCAGGAGTTCGAGACCAGCCTGGCAAACGTGGTGAAACCCTGTCTCTACTAAAAATACAAAAATTAGCCGGGCGTGGTGGCGCTCATCTGTAATCCCAGCTACTCCAGAGGCTGCAGGGGGAGAATCACTTGAACCTGGAAGGTAGAGGCTGCAGTGAACTGAAACTGTGCCACTGCACTCCAGCCTGTGTGACAGAGCAAGGCCCTATCTCAAAAACAAACAAACAAACAAACAAAAAACAAAAAAACAAACAAACCCTCAAACAAAGCATCACACAGTATGATCTGACTGGAGGTAGTCACAATACACAAATAAATCCTTATCAGATAAGAATTAATTTAAATTCCTTTCAAAGCTTTTCAAGAGGCAGAAAAGCCTGTCCTTCAGAGATACCCTCCTCTGGATTAATGACTTGGGTTACCCTCTTTATCACAAGTTAAAGGTAAATTAGTAGTTGGATTGATAATAGCTCTTCCTCCTCAAATTGCTTCACCATGGATTTCTGCTTCGTTTTTTGTTTTGTTTTTGTTTTCTTTTGAACACGTAGAGTTTGAGGCCACACAACTACCCCCAAGCCTCCTGGAAGCAGAGTAGACATCAGGGCCTTGGGCAAAGCAAGGCTCAAAGAGAATCTGAGTCAACGCTCTGGGAACCGCTGAGAAGCTGGGGTTGTGCTTCTCCGCCCTGGAGTCTTAGACTGTGTGGGAGGAGCCCTTCACCTGACCATCCCCAGCAATCCCACTGGAGGGATGAGGCCTCAGGAGGGCACCCGTATTCGTGATTCAATTCTAGACTTTCCATGTGTGCACCTCGACTTTCTTGTGCCCTGACAGTGTTGTGAAGAAATAAAAAATAATAAAATTTGTAGAAGATTCTACAGTGTTTGAAATATGTTCCGGCAGGTAAGCGCAAGGGTCTTCTAATCCCACAGCTACCAGCCCCTAAAGTCTCCAGTGCCTATTGTTTGTTACTATCGGAATTCTCCTGGAGTTGCTTTTCCTTCACACATCCTTGGGGTTGTTAATATTTGGGGTCTCTGAGGAGTGGCCCCCAATAGCCATAGTTCGGCCAAGACTGTCTAAACTGAGAGGGTCTTTAATATCTAGGGGTTCTCTTTACTGGGTCTTCCCAAATGACCCCTAACCTGATTATAATACTTATCTACATAAATGCATCCAAAGGCTCCCACTGCTCCTCAGACAAATGCAAACTCCTTTCACACAGCCTGGCGTGGCCCAGCCCTGCTGCCTACCTCCCATCCTGCCATTCTCCCTCATCCTCTGTTGGCTCTGGCCACACAGTCTTCTTTCTGAGGTTCGTATTTGCCATGCTCCATCCTTCCGCAGAGCCTCTGGATATGGCATCCCCCCCTACAGTGCCCCTTCCTCCCTTTCACTTGCTATTAACTCTTAGTCTTCCTGTCTATCTCAGTGCATGCACCACTCAGCCTGGAGAGCCTGGCCTCTCTCACCATGATTAACTCCACCTAATAAAGGTTCACAGAACAGTCCACTCTTCATTCCCCCATGAGCACGCCACGTCATTGCAATTTTGCACGTGCTTGTATAATTACATGATTAATATCTGTCTCTTGCACTGTAAGCTCTGCGAGGGTAGGACCATTTCTGTTTTTGTTCACTCATATTGTCATTGGCACAGAATAGAAGCTTAATGAATATCAGATGGACATGCAGATGGAGGCATGAACACACTATCTCAGCAGAACTGTCTTCTTCCCTGCCCTAGTTTGCACACCTTATCTTCTCCAGTTTTCACCTCCGGTCACATGTTTCCTCTGCCCAGAAGTTCCTTTCTCCCAACTGTTGCCTGTTGTTTCTTCAGAGGTCTGCTGCCTCCCCTACTAGGAGGAACAAACCTTGTGCACCTTCCCAGATTCCTTAAAGCATTGCTTTTATTTCTCTTTCTTTTGACTGGCACCCTCACTTTCACTGGGTCACCACTCTGTTTTGCATTGACCAGAATACCACACCACAGAGCTTCCTGAGAAGTCTCTGAGGGGTGGAGGATGCCAACTTCAAGTGAAGTAGTATTAGCTGCTCATAGGACAAAATTTTGCTGATGTTAAAAGGGAGAAGGGAGGGAGGCTGGCAGATCCATCCACCCCCTCTTTCTCTCTTCTATGGGCTGTTTCAACATGTGGCCCTTCCTTGTGACCCTCCTGCATTAGTTGCAGAAGAGACAGATGTGGTTCTTCAGGCTTGCCGGAAGGCATCAGTCAGCACAATAAAGCATCCCAGTGTGTTCACCGTATCTTCCCCTGTGTCTCACTTCTGTTTTCCCTCACTCTCGCACCCGGGCTTGTGTCTTCCAAGTAAACTGTTAGTATCTTAATCTTTTTCTCAGACTCTGCTCTCTTGAGCATCCAGGCAAATATCCTCTAATATCCCAGGTCCCCTCAAGAGCGCAACTGCATGTATCGTCCAAGCACACAATCCAGTAGTTTGAGAAGGGTTTCTCTCTAAATATGCTGTGAATGGATGAAGCTATTGGAAATTTGACCTGGACTAACAGAAGGAAACTCATAATCCCTCTGCTTGAATCTGCTCTAGTCAGAACCCACCATCAGTGGTACTGATTTTAATTCCAAGAAGCCTAATTTAAAACTGTGTTTCTCAACATTTTCAAATGACGGACCACTTAAAGAATCTGAGCGAGGCTATGAACCCCTCTTCCCAGAAAAAATATGCACATATGAATCTGTACACTCTCAGTTTAGGGGGTTCTCAGGACCTCTGAAGCCCCATCCGTAGATTTCATAGTAAGGAACACAATCAATGGGCAGTAACAAGTAGAGCAGTTGACACCACGTTTCATAGGGAACAGTGGAAAGAACAAATTCAATACAAATCAGGGGTGGAAGATGTGAAATTTGCTGTATTTGAAGGCACGTCAAGTGGAAAAGCCATTAAATGTTTGTTCCTATAGTATCTCCTCTTCTGGGGGTGACTTCTCTGATTTCCCCAGTAAGATTTTGCTGTCCTAGCCTCATGAGTATGCTGTGATCCTTACTTACAAAATACTACTAGTCTTGGTCAGGCACCATGGCTCATGCTTGTAATCCCAGCACTTTGGGAGGCTGAGGTGGGCGGATGACTTGAGCCCAGGAGTTCAAAACCAGTAGGGCCAACATGGTGAAACCTTGTCTGTACTAAAAATACAAAAATTAGCCAGGCGTGGTGGCGGGTGCCTGTAATCCCAGCTATTTGGGAGGCTAAGGCAGGAGACTCGCTTGAACCTGGGAGGTGGAAAGTACAGTGAGCCAAGATCACGCCACTGCATTCCAGCCTGGGTGACAGGGGGAGACTCTGTCTCGAAAACAAACAAACAAACAAAAACAAACAAAAAAAACTAGTCTTTCATCTAAAGGGCCAGATAGAGGCTCTACTTTGGACAGAAATGCCAAAAAAGTCAGTGCCCAAAGACCCCACCCCCATTCTTGTTTTCTTTTTTCTTCATACAAATCATTCTGAGCTTGTAGGCCATACAGAAACTGGCAGGCTGGCTTCAGGCCATAGTTTGCCATCCTCTGCATTAAGCTGAAGCCACTGATGAACCAGACCATCTCCACCATCATACTATAAGCCCCTCTGAGGCAGAAGTCATCATTTATTTTGCCCTGGGACCCCAGTTCTAACACAATGATAAGTACACAGTCAAAGCTGAATATATGTATGTTAGATGAAAGAATCCACCACAAAGACCTCCCTTATCATGCAGTTTGAACTGATCTCATCTCATCTCTCAGGACTTGCTGACCACACTTACCCAATTATGCTGAGTGCCGTGGCTGTCCACTGGCTTGAGAGACTTAGAAAAACCACAGAATCCTTTCTTTGCCAACTTTCAGGTTGTTTTTTCAGTTTCTGATGTGAAAAGCATAAAATAACCACTCACTACTTATTTCCATAGCTAGCCTTTTAAAAGTAATATTAAAAGTGGGGATGATGCCAAGAAATCTGTTAAATATTCTTGTGCAGCTGTTCACATCTTAGCATTTAATTAGTTATAATTGCAATTTAAAAACAATTAAACTCTGTGGGGGTTATTTACTGCATCTCGTGATGATTCTGTCTTTATGCTCCTCAGAAGAGACAATTGGAAGGAGAGATCTGCTGAGATTGATAAGACAAGTTATTGTCACCCATAGCTAATTTCCCTTGTCATTGTTTTAGGGTGATGGTGGTGTGATTTTTTTTTTTTTTTTTTTTGCGTCACATGTTGCAATGTTAGAACACAAATTTCTAAACTTTTCAAACGGTATAGTAAAAACATGGCGTAGTCTTGTAGTTTTCTCTCACATCCTCAGCATAGGAAGACCAAGAAGAACTGCCATTTCTCACCGAAGGTCCCTGCCCAGATCATAAACTCATTGTCCTAAAAAAAAAAAGTTGGAACCAAAATTTACATACAACGAGCCAAGAAGTTGAGATGGAAAAACAAAGGGGAATTAGAGTGTGTTAATGGTCTCATCTTATACAAATAGAAAGCTGCCAATTAAGTTAAACTTTGCTGGGAAATAAATGGATTTATGCATATTTTTGAAAGTGTAGTGCATACATGTAATATCATAGATGGGATAGTGGGAGAGATAATGGACAAAAGGAAAAGAACTAAGGAAATCTGAATGATTATGCATGTTAACTAATAATAATGTATCATTATTGCCTCATTAATTGTAAAAAATGTGCCAAACTGATGTAAGATGTGAATAATAGCAGAAACTGAGTGTGGGGTATATGTGAACTCTTTGTACTATCTTTTCAACTTCTCCATATATCTATAACTATTCTAAAGTAAAAGTTTATTAATTTCTAAAACGAAGGTTACTCCCTAAAGAATACAATTAAGATACGTAGCTTGTAATCAGGTGAAGAAGGAAAAAGTCGATTAAAAAAATACTTAGTTCAAGAGGGCAGGAAACCGGGCGTAGTGGCATGCACTTGTAGTCCCAGCTGCTCACGGGGCTAAGATGGAAGGATCACTTGAGACCAGGAGTTCAAGGCCAGCCTGGGCAAAATAGTGAGACCCTGTCTCTAAAATTAAAACTTTTTTTTTTAAAGACAGGAGATAAGAAAAAGTTGTCTATGGGGGGAGAGGTTGATAAGCATTATATACAACACACACAAAAGAAAGTGGCAAAAACAAAGTTTGCATTTTAAGGATGCGGTATCTCCTGTCCTGTTCCCCTAATTTAATACTTGGCTGGCACTCTCCAATTCCCTTCTCACTCAACACTTCTTTCACTCGTATCCCAGGCCCCTTATCAGTGATCTGCAATTCAATCAACCAATTAACAAATATTAACTGAGCCCCTGGTGTAAGACCCTCAATAAATGCTACAGGACCCCATTCCTGGAAAAAGCAAGATGGGTGCTCCATGGGTCTTCTTCGGGTGCACCTCCCAAGCCCAGTGCAGGGCTGGCTGCACTCAGCCAGCGCTCAATACACATTTGTCCAGATTGTCTCCCCACGATGGGTCTGCATCCTGGCTGGGTGATGAAGTCACCCGGGGAGCTTTTAATAAACGCCATTGCCCAGAGCCACGCCAACCAAGATTCGAATTTAACTGGTCTTAAGTGAAGTTGGCCAGAACACCAGTATTTTTTAAAAGCTGAGCAGAAGTTTCTAATATGCAGCATGGGCAGGGTTGCATATACAGGAATCCATAAGGTAAATGATAGCAGACCAAGTCTCGATGTTATCAGTTAACTATTATAACCGTACAGGTGTGAGAATTCCAAATTAGTACTATTTTCTCTCCAGCAGCTACTAACTCACTGTGCAGACAAGACTCGAGTTATGCAGCTGCAAACCAGGGAACACCAAAGACTGCAAGCAAGCCACCAGAAGCTTGAAAGAGGAGAAGAAAGATTTCTCTACAGATCTTAGAGGAAGCATGGCCTTGCTGACACCTTGATTTCAGACTTCTAACCTCCAGGACTATGAGACAATAAATTTCTGTTGTTCTGAGCCATCCGGCTTGTATTACTTTGTTATAGTTGCCCTGGGAAATTAAAATTAATACAGCTTCCAATTAGGTACAGGGGGTAAAAGAAGAATAAGAGAAAACTTGATAATCCAACAGGAGGTTGGAATTTTTTTAATAGTAAATAAAAAGAAAAAAAGTAAGAAAGATTTCATATAACAAATACAAAATAACAAGGCAGAAAAAATTCAATATATCAGTAATTCAGAAACTATGGACCCATTAAATTCACTTGGAATGCAAAATGTTGAATGGCTTTACAAATCTGATTCATTGCTATGTAATTCCTAACGACATTTCCAGAATAACAGAACAAAATGATAGAAAATATACAAAAAATACAGAAGATGAAAAGACACACCAAACAACTTTAAATCAGGCTACCTCCCTGATTTCTCTCCCCCCTGTACTCCACGCGGATGCACCAAGTACAATTGTGGCCCTGCCTCAGGACTTTGCACGCATGGTTCCCATTTCCTGGAATGCTCTGCCCCAGACAGTCACATGGCTTACTCCCTGCATTCACTCAGCTCTCTGCCCAAACGTCACTTAGTCACAAAAGCCTGCCCTGACCAGGTTATCTAAAGAATATTCTACCCTATCAATCTCTATTTTCTTACCTGGTTTTAGTGCTTTTTTCATCACTTACCACCACCTGATGATTTTTGTTGGCCTCTCACATTAGAAGGTAAGTTCCATGAGAACAGGGACTTTATTTACTGTTATCTATCAGTACCTATAGCACACAGTAGGCACCAAATAAATATGTGCCTCTATCATAAAATTTGCAGATGGGAAATGTAAACATTGTTTTATGTTTTGGCCAAATCCCTTCTAAAGTGTTTATTTTTGCAAACTGCAGCTTCCTCTCTCCTTTTATGCCTAACGAACGATCAAAGATGGGACAAATGGAGAAAAGTTTTCTCTCTGGAGAAAGAAAATTCAAGATGGAGAGAAAGAATTTATGCCACGATGCTGGATTTTGTGGAAATTCACCAGGCATTTATTTCCTTGGTGACCCAATCATAAAAGTGAGGGAAAACCTTCTTTCAGCCAGTGTGGGGAATACAACACCAATGCTACAAAAGTACTGGCATTCTAAATGCAAGGATAAGCTTAAAGAGATTATTTGAATCTAAGAGTGTGGGAGGGACATTGGCTCTCACGGTCCAGCAGGTGTGAGTCGGATCTAGCTAACTCCCTGAGGATCAAGGATTCAATTGCCATGCTGAACGGGCACCCCTGATTCCTACAAGTTCAACTCTTTATGAGACTTCTCCCATTTACCTTCTCTGGACCTCGCTTAGCACTACCCTATGTGAGGGAATCATGGGGACAGAAGGAAGCCTCCTCGCCCTGCCACTTCCCAGCAGCCCTGCCCTGAAGGCACTCTCCCCACACTTTGGTTCTTTAAGGGAGCCCCACATCATGCAAAGCGCTGAACCACAAGCTCGCTCGTTGCCTTGGCATCACCAGCACTGACCAAGAAAAGCTGGTGTTAGGTGTAGGCTACAAGCCAAACACTCAGGGTCCCCAGCCCTTTCCCACCACAGCCTGTCACCCAGGAAATATAGAACAATCTGTCCAATCCCTCCCACATGCACATGGTCCTCTGGGAGCAGGTTATATACGTTTGTGAATTTATACACAGCCTGGTGTCAGGCCAATAAATTACTTCTGGAATTCAGTTCCAGTAAAGAAAAAAAAATCCACCCCCACACAACAACAAAAAAGGAAGGAAGCAAGAAATTTTAAAAAGAGGTGAGTCTTCTTTTCTTCCCACCCATGGGCTTTTCCAGTCCCTAGAAAGTTCTTCTTATAGTCTAACCTAATTCCTTCTTGAACAAATGTAAGACATATGTCTCTAATTTTCATGGGAAATGGAGAGGAGTTCACAACTATGTCCATATTACCTATCTTCAAATACTTAAGGGCCTCTCTCTGCCTTCTCTTCTCTAAGATAAACAAGTTCTCTTCTTTAAGTCTGTAATAATCATCCAATTTATTTCATGGCCCCCTTGATCTTGAAACACGGCAAATTTGAATAAGATATTTGTTTTAAAGTAGTTATGTTGCTGTAAGTTCTGCTCCTCTAATACTTAAACTTTCCCCATTATGATACCTCTTTGCTTGTTATATTTTAAACAGTGCCTTGCTGTTTAAATGAGGAATGAGAAAAGATTTGCCTTGCTAGCATCTGTCACCGCCGACCCTAGGTTGCCTCTGAAGTGTATGCTTACAGCCTTTACCTAAAATTATTAAGTGCTCTGGTGACATTATTACAAGAGGGGGCAGGAAGAGTGTCAACCTAATGAAGCGGCAGATTATATCTGATGGTCTCCATCTGAAAATCAGCACAGGCCAAGCTGTGTGCTAATCAAGCTACCAAGGGGCCTTCACCCTTGGACAACAGCAGCCTTTGACGACACCTGAGAGGAATATGAGCTGCCCCCTTTCTATTGCTAATAAGCTGAGTGGAGAACGGGTTATGTTTCATGGAAAAGCCATGCTCTCCCCTTCCAGGGCAAGCATCCAAAGCATAGGGGCTCCAGGAGGCAATAAACCATTCCTTCCCGAGTTGGAACTCGAACCACCTTGCTGGAAGGCTGACACTGTGGCCTTGAGTTCAGGACTGCCAGCACTTCACGGTGCTACATGTCACAGGGTTTCCATGTATCCTCATTGAATAAATGAATGAATGAGTTATTAAGATTTACATTTGGTTCTGAACTTCCTAGTAAACAGCAAGAGGAATATACCAGTTCACGTAGTTTTCATGTGCATAAGACAGAAGAGAACATTACTTTAGAAAATATAACACTGCAAAAATTGTTTTGGAGAATGTTGAACATATGCTTCTGTGTGTTCTTAAAGTCCTCTGCTGATGGCCATGTGCAGTGGCTCACATCTGTGTAATCCTAGCACTTTGGGAGGCCAAGGTAGGAGGATTGCTTGAGGCAGGAGTTCAGGAGTTCAAGACTAGCCTGGGTAATATAGCAAGGCTCTGTCTCTACAAAAATATTAAAAATGGGCCGAGTGTGGTACACATACCTATAGTCTTAGCCACTTGGGAGCCTGAGGTGACAGGATTGCTTGAGCCCAGGAGTTCGATGATACAGTGAGCTATAATCATACCACTGCACTCCAGCCTGGGTGACAGAGCAAGACCCTGTGTCTACTTAAAAAAAGAAAACCTCCTCTGCTGAAAACCCATGCAAAAGGCCAGTGCTCTTTTCTTTATTTGCTAGGTGGAAAGATCTGTTGGTCACACATGGATTTTCCCATCCACATCTGCACCTGCTTATGTGGCAAAGATAAAAGTCAGTAGCTCCTTCTCTACATCTTTAACAGCCAACATGAACATACTATGGAGTCACATTCATTCAAACTGGTTGGGCCTGGAACAAGAAATCACATGGAGTACAGCAATACATAAATTGTTTCTCAGCAAGTGGTCAGATTCCACCTGCTAATAATGTGCAACTAATTCCAGACTTCCTTTCCCTCCCTAGGTTCATATTTACCAATGACAAGAGTCTGAATCCATATATTCAAACAGGAGTTCAGAGAGTAGAAAAGAGAACATAATTTGTGTTTTTTAAAAAAGTAATTTCATTGAAAAATGTCATCACACAAACTCCTTCAACTCAGGAGGAAAGAAGCCACAGGATATTACTCTAGCTTATAAGAAGGATAAATAGAAACTTGGAGGAAGCAATAAGCCTTCTGAATCTTGGAATTTAATGATACTTTATAAAGAGTGAAAAGATTAACTCCTAATGTCAGCCAGGTGGATGTGAAACAGATAATTTTATATGGCACTACAGGTAATGGCATTGATACATCATACCAAATTGCCCCAGAAAGATTGTATTAAAATTTAAAATATGTATTCCTTTGACCCAGCAAGTTTACTTCCAGCAATCTATTATAATGAAATAATAGAATATTTATTTGTAAGGTGCAAAGTTATATGTATAGAGACTTATTTATAGTACAGATGTGTTGTTTATGAAAGAAAAAATGAAAACAATCTAAATGTCTACTAACAAAAATTTGATTAAATAAGCCCTGGCATATTTAAAGAACTATAATGATTGTTTCACTCTTGTATGCACAAATATTTATTGAGCATCTGCTATGCTGAGCATGGTTCTAAGCACATGAGTTGTATCACATAAAATATACAAAAATCTCTGCTCTTGTTGAATTTATATTCCAGACAAAATGTTTTTGAATAAAATTTTAATTGGTAAATTTTGAAATGCCTACATGTTTTTGAAATAGAGATGTACATATAATTTCAGAGACACATATTTTCTTATGCATAGATAAGCCAGATATACCCTTAAATGAACCCTTTGCAATCTCTCTGAAGCTCCTGTGGGTCCCTTACTTGTAAATGGGAAACCACTGGAGTATCTTAAAAATAAAATAATAACAGCCTGAGCTTTGGAACACACTTAAGTGGATTCAATCATGGCTTTGATATATACACTAACTGCATGATCTTAACAATTTAATTAACCTCACTCATCCAGTTCCCCCTCTTTGACTCACAGGATTACTATAAGAGTTCAAAGAAAAACAATACCTAAAGTCCTTTACACAATGCCTAGAAAATAGCAGATGCTCAATAAATGTCTGCTGCCTTCACTCTCCTTAGACTGCCTTGGGATTCAGAACACAACTACTCATTGCCTTTCTCTACTAATTTATTATCCAACTTAAAAGGAAATGCATCCATCCAAAACATTTAAATGAAGAATTATTGTTGCTGGATCAAAGGATTTTTAATTTTCCTCTCTGTCCTCTTTCTCTATCTTGGCCCATATATACAGAGCAAAAACCAATCAATCTTCTTTCCTTCAGCAACTACATCTTTGTACTCCTTAGCACTGTTCCCTCTTCATAGAATAAGCTGCCTAAAAACATTTTTTAATTAGGCCAATATTCATTAGCTTACTTTGACCAGTATTCACATTTTTTTCACGAAATAATTATTTTCTCACAAAGCTTATAAGTCAGCAAGGACAAATGCCTCTGCAGAATTTGGAGGAGCCATATCCTTCTAAACTAACTGCAACACCCTTACAATTTGTTTTCTATTGGGTGTTTTTCCTTAAATCACACACTTCACTTAATGCTTCAGCCTATGAACACAGTAAAATCTTTCAGTAGAATATCTATTAGAGAGTTGCAATCATGAAAATAAAATCCAGTGGCATAAAATAAGATGGCTGGTGACCCACTGCCATCTGGGAATGAGGCGTTGTAACAGCGAATCTCCTAAGAAGCTAATGAAGACTCGGAGTCTCTGGATGCTGGAGTTGGCCTCTGGCTGTAAGCTTCTACCAAAAGCCACGGTAATTCTTTCATTTAGTCCAGGGCACTGGTAGCTTATGAAATATTGAAAATAATGCTTCTTATGAAACTCACTGTTTCATCAGATAAATACTTTCAGGCACTTAGCACCAAGGGGAGAAAAATGTAACTTCTGAAGTAATGCTCTGTTTAGACTTAAATGCATAGGAAACAGTGAAACTAATACATTTTTCTTTTTGCTTTGGTTGCCAGAATGTTCTGAATAAGATATAAATCTTAATAACTAATTCATTCTTCTAGGTATTCAATAAACATATATGGAGCCGCTATTACATGTCAGCCCCCATGCAAACTGCTGGTAATTTTAAGCTCAAGGACACAGTGTCAGCCCTCCAGAAAGCCATGGAAAGATATGAATTAGCAGGTAGCGATGACTATGATTAGGCATTCATGGGATACTCTGGGAACACAAAGAAAGAGTACCACTCCCAGCCTGGCATGGGGAGGGATGGCAGGGAGAATCAAGGAAAATGTCCCCTTAATGTGACATAAGGTATCAGCTCTGGTTCTTAATAAAGTATCTCTCATTGACTTCTGAGGCTTCTTAATTCTTTCTTTAAAAATATTTTAGACCTCCACAGAAATAGTTTGGAAAAAAACACACTTTTTTTTTTTTTTTTTTTTTTTTTTTGAGACATGGTCTCCCTCTGTTGCCCAGGCTGGAGTGCAGTGGCATGATCTTGGCTCACAGCAGGCTCCGCCTCCCAGGTTCAAGCGATTCTCCTGCCTCAGCCTCCTGAGTAGCTGGGATTACCGGTGCCTGCCACCACCCCTGGCTTATTTTTGTATTTTTAGTAGAGATGGGGTTTCACCATGTTGGCCAGGCTGGTCTCGAACTCCTGACCTCAGGTGATCCACCCGCCTTGGCCTTCCAAAGTGCTGGGGTTACAAGCGTGAGTCACCGTGCCTGGCCAAAAATACACATTTCTTTATTCATACATACACATATTTAAATATGCACACAAAGCTCATTAAACAATATCCTTTTAACCTAAAGGAATTCTCAAAACTTACAAAAAAAATAGTTTACAATTGACATTACAAAGGGACCCTGGGAAAATCAGACACAACTGCAAGTAATCTATTTTTTTTTTTTTTTTTAATTTGAGACAGAGTCTTGCTCTGTCACCCAGGCTGGAGAGCAGTGGAACAATCTTGGCTCACTACAACCTCCGTCTCCCGGGTTCAAGCAATTGTTGTGTCTCAGCCTCCTAAGTAGCTAGGATTACAGGCGTGCCTCACCACACCCGGCTAATTTTTGTATTTTTAGTAGAGATGGGGTTTCATCATGTCGGCCAGGCTGGTCTTGAACTCCTGACCTCAAGTGATCCACCTGCCTCAGCCTCCCAAAGTGCTGGGATTACAGGCATAAGCCACTGTGCCCGGCCCTACAAATAATCTTCAAAGAGTTGATGGTTGCTTTAAATATTTCCCATGATTCTAAGATAACTTTGGTTTTAAAATATTATTTTATGAATATAGCATGCTCTTAACCTTGCATGCCTCGCTACTCTTTGTTCCAGCACACCAGTTCCAAAGATCTTGATCAAGTAGCCCTGGGCTGGTAGACAGTGATTGACAACCCAGATTGACTACGTGGTCTCAGGATGGATCCTGGCTTGCTTCCAAATTTGGCTAATGCAAAGCTCTTGCATTCCTTTGCCTCCTCCCATACCAACTTTTCCCTCTGCCACATCATATACTGTGAGAGAATGGGGTTGTTGGCATAACTTCAAGTTATATCATTGATTCAAATCTATCTTAAGCAAACCTACTTTTATTTCAGATGAATACTCTCTAGCGATCTGAATTGCAGGGGCAGTAAAACAACTCTACATTTATATAAGCATTCCCATCCCCCAAGGAATAGTTTTCCAGGCCTACAGATACCTTAGAAGCGATAAAGAGTTTAGTAGGCTGGAGTCTTTTCTGTGGCTTTCTAAAAAATCAGAATTCCATGTAATCGAAATATAATGAATTTGGTGCTTGACAACAACAACAACTGCTTTAATAAAGTACAATCTAGGCATAATTCTATAGCAGCCACCTCATAAAACTATGGTTAAAATGAGAATAGCCAACTTGTAAATCAGAAGCAGCCAAGGTAGTAAGATGTGACTGCAGAGAAGAGCATAGGGATAAGCTGACTCCATCCCACTAAGCCCTCTGCCTGATCCTTCTCCAGCTCAAGTACATGGGGCTCTCTCTCTCTCCTTTCTTCAGGTCTCCGCTGTACGTCCCCTTCTCAGAACGACACTTCATAAAATAATACCGCCAGCATTCCCCAGCCCCCTTCCCTGCTGGCTTGCTTTGCTTACTCTTCCTTCCTTCTTCCTAACCTTCCTTCCTTCATTTATTTGTTTTCGCATAGCACTTGCCACCACTAGAAATATATTGCTTGTTGGTCTTTCCTCTCCCCTCAATATAACATATCCCCAGAGAACAGGAACCATGGCTTGTTCACTGCTGTAACTACAGCATCTGGCACCAAGAAGGCATTCAATAAATATTTGCTAAATGGATTTTCTTTATTTCACTCTTTTAGCTCACACACATTCTCCTGTGTATCTCCATACTGACACTGAAGTACACTGAATGAAGGTAGAAAGAACATTCTCTCACCTTCCCTTCTCCCTGATTCTAGCAGAGAAAAGCACTCTACAAAAAGTCAAAGCCAACTGAAGCAAGTGCCAAGAAGTTCTGCTAATCTTGCAGTAATACATCTAGGATTATACCTTACAAGCCGACATGTGAATGTATTTCGACTTAGTGGTTCTGATACTCTTGAAAGATGCCCAGCTCTTCATGGTTCCCAAGACTGTTCTCTAAGATATTCCCAAAGGGAGGAGAAATCAATACCAATGCCTAGTTGTGATCTTGAAGTGAAACAGATTTACTCTGGCTACACTGCCTCCCTTTCCAGCACCTAAAGTCAAAGGACAGGGAGGAAGGAAAGGTACTAAGATCCACTAATTATCAATGAAACTATACTAATGAATATATTGTTTTATTGATAACCACTGGGTCTTAGTAACTTTCCTGGGTCTTAGTATCTCATTAAACTAACCACAGAGGCTTAGTACTTTTCCTGGGTCTTAGTACCTCATTAAACTGACCACAGAGCCTTAGTACCTTTCCTGGGTTTTAGTACCTCATTAAACTGACTACAGAGGCCCAGTTTCCCAAGACTACTTTGCAGTTTAGAATCGCTCTAGCCAAAGACATTCAATTTCCTGAATATGAGTCTGTGGGACCCTTTAAATCTTAAGTCTGGCTAAAGAGGAAGCAACCCAGATGCACATAGAAATGAGAGGCTGTGGGCCACATAATTCACTGGAGATCTAGAACCTAGTAAAAACAAAACTCTGAAATATAATTAAATAAGTACTACAGTTCCTGATCCATAATTGTTCTTGGTCTGTTGCTACAATGAAATGCACCATAGAAAAAAATTTTTAAATAAGTAAATAAATAATAGCATCAGTTCTCAGAAACTGAGGGCTTTGGACAGACTTTGAAACAATCTAAGTCTCAGAATTCTGTGTTGGTGCTTGCTACCAAAGTGTTCTACTAAACTGCCTGCCAAGCAGCAATGAAGCAGAGCCCTAGCAATTCATTCAACAAGCTACCAAGAGTGGAAAGCTAATTTAATGGGGCAGGGCCAAGCACAGTTAACAAACTGCACATCTGTAAAATGGAAATAAGTTGTCCCCAGTCTTTAGCAGTACATCTCCTTGCTAAGTAGCACTAAAAAGGCTTCAAAGCCTTTCTCCTTCTCGGTGTGTAGCTGCCAATGAGTTCATTTCACTTCCATCTGCAGAAAAGGAGAGGGAGCCAAAATGTTGGGCTTTGGCCCCACACCCACTAGAGCTGCCAGAGATTGAGAAATCGAGCTGCATCTAACCCCTTTCCTAGAGAAAGGGCCTAAGCAATCATGTTCCACTTGTCATTAACCTATGTACTTTTCTATGTCCCTTTCCTTTTGCCCAAACCGAAACCAAATCATGGTACATGAAAGGTGAGTCCATTTCTACATGAACCCTTTGTAAATCTGTCCCAGGCTCCCTGGGTTCCATCTAGAATGCTGCTTCTATTTGTTGCACACAGGGAATCTGGCATGGCCCTGGAAAATTTACATTTTCAAAACCTCAAAAAAATAAACTTCATTCTAGGCACGGCTCTTCTTTAAGCATTCAATGAAATAAATTCTGTCTGCCCTATTTCATTTGATTCTATGCAACCAGCCCTGACTTGCCTATGAGTGTTTCTTTTAAAAAAGGGAGCATGGACCCAGGATGCATGGCTTTGCTCAGCCCCATACTGTGTTAGCTTTGGCATGTCTTTTCCCCTCTCCCGGTCTCAGTTTCTCCATAAATAAAGCACAAATGACAAGACTAAAATGATCACCTGAGAGTGCTGTCTAAGATTCTGTGGTTCTGTGGACTTTTCTAAGATGCTTCTCTCTTTGACAGAAGTATTTTCATCATCAATTCTTTCTAGCCTCTCATTCTGTTTTAGCTCCCAAAGACTTTGCTGGTCAGATGTCCTTTGCTTTATGTTTGGAAATTTTCATTGTGACTCTTCAAGTCAGTCACACAAGAGACTGACTTAAGATCCAGGAAGGGATCTGACAGCTTTTCCATCCTTTGATCATTAAACTTAGGGAGGAGAGAAGTGGTGCTGACCAACCACACAGGTCCACGTATATACTTTCTTTTGGGATTCTGAAGATGGGCCCTTTCTTACAAATAAATTATTGTGCAGGAGGCTTGCAGCTCTAAAGTAATTAGTGGCCTATATCACCTTCCCAAGACAATTCTCTCTTTCCTCTTTCCCTCCTCTTTTTCTTTCTCATATTTCCTCGCTCTTTCTCTCTTTCTTTCCTTTTTTTCCTTCCCTCCTTTTCATCCCTTGTCTTTTTACTTGGTCCTGCCAGTACAACTAAGGAGGTTATTTAGACCTATTGGCAATCCATAGGAAAATAAAATAATCAAAAAATTGCTGCTTATCTTCAGTGAACAGAACCACAAGATTAGGACTCAAAGCCATCTGAAGCACTTTCATGCTGGCAACCTTAAGGAACCTATAACATAAAAGCATACAAGATGAAATGAATCCACAATTGCAAATTAAGATCAGCAGCTACCTTTACATCAAAACATTCTGAGACACAGCTTTGTGTCAAAAGTTCTTTCATAAAAAGTCAATATGATTAGGGGAAGATACTGAAACCACATTATTTAACCAATGAACAAGCAGCATAATCCCTGAGATTAATGAAACTCCAGATCACAAATGTTTAATATATTTTTGCGAAGCATGAGTAGCTCATGTGGTAAGCATTTATAGTTAAATAAAAATATCTTCTCTACATCCACTTGTGAATATAATACTCACAACATCCATGTGATTAACAAGAGCAGCCTAGTCCAGGAGGGTTGCCAACAGCAGGCAGAAGTGTGGCATATCTAAACAAATGAACATGAAAAGGTATCATTATGACTGATATTATAGACATTTGGGATAAAGGGATTTTAAGTAAGTAGGGGGTTTTAGGCTGGGGACACATCATAAAGAGATCCTTAGGCTCAATAACCTTTCCTAACCACAAACCAGGTACAAGAAAGACCAGATTTTGTACAGTGGCCTCTTGTCCTTGGGTAGAAAGATTTGGCAGGACATAGATGGAATGGATACACATTTTTAGTGTCTGCAAGAATTAGGAAGGAGAATGCAGTCAACACTCCTTTCCCCAGTCACAGAAAATCACTTAATCCAGCTCTGCTGTAAGTTAGTGGGACAAGGCCTAATACCCTCTTTTAGATGCAGAAGTTTTTGGTTGTGAACATGCATCTTCAACTTTACCTCCAGGTATAAAACAGAATTTGTCAGGTACCTAAGATAAAAAACTAGCTTTTGCCCCTCCTGGATTAATTACTCCATGGATGTGTGCCTAAATAAAGACTCATTATGATATGGCTATAGGACCCAAGCCAAACCACTCTGTCCAAATTAAACTAGCGACTTCTCTTCTCCTCCCCTTCAAAAGGCATTTAAAGAGCTTTTTCCCCTAGAATAATAAAAACGTCATACATCTGGAAATTTGCCATTTTAAGAGCAAAGGCTGGGGGACAGATCAGTAGATTGGCACAAACTGTCCTCAGCAACAGCCTCATGGGGGAACAAATCTTCCTTCTGTGCCCTGATGAATCCAAGGCTCAGAAAATCACAGAGACTTAAGAGTTGGAGGGAGAAAAGCTGCCGTTCAGCGTTCTGGTCAAGTTGGCCTCTTAGGGGCCTACCAGAAAGAGGCGGGTGTACCCACTTAACTGGAGCACAAAGCCTGCAGTACCCAGGCTCCTGGACGAAAGGTGAGGACCTGGGATGAAGTGGAAGCAGAAGTCCAGGCACCTGCGTATATACCTCCTCCTTCTTCCTTCCCAGACACCACGCCTTGTTGGCAGGTCCCAGGCTGACCTCCATTCAACAGCCAATACTTACAGAGTTTCTATCTTGCACCAGGCATTGAATTAGAAATGAACAATACAAAGATGAGTTACACAGGCTCTCTGCTCTGCCTACAAAGCCCCATCAAGAAGTCTGCATAAAGTCCACCATAAGTCTTACCTACCTCATCTTAGCACCAGCAGCTGGGAATGCTGCATACACCACAGGAAAAGCATTATAACTCTAAATAGCACTTAGAACTCCTCACCACTTCCTCCAAGGAGATACAGTTGGCTAGTACACAACTGAGGCTGCATTCCGTTGACTTAAAGATTATCTCCAGTTATAAACCACGAGGAGGAAATCCACAAAGCTTATTAGTCATTTATACTTCAGCAGGAAGGAGTTCACTGCATCCATCCCAAAGATGAGATTTTCAGATAGAGAGTTTGAGGAGGGGTTCCCTAAAGTATGGGTTGGGACACATATTCAGAGGTTAGCCTAGGCCTGGCATTTGTCCAAAGTGTTTTAGGCCACACTCTCAAGAAACATCCTGCTTCCTATATTTTGTAAATTCCCAAGCTTGTCGAAATCATTTATACCCTAAGTAACTTCACCCGCTATAGCTCTTAAATTTATTTGTTTTCTTATTAGCATCTTAAAAGTCTATAGGAGATGACTTTCTCAAGAACTGTCCTAAACATATGGATTTTGGTCATTCTTCCCTTGCATGTCCCTGGCAGATAACCAGCAGAGGACCTTTTTCTGTTTAAAGGATGTGCCATATATGCTGAGTTTTAGGAAGCATGCAAGCAACCCCACAAATCTCACATGCCCTTTGTTATTCACCCATTCAACATTGTATTTCAAGCAATCACGGGTTACTCATCATTTTTCATCAGAAAAGAGATGAGGTTCCCCAGGTAAAGTCTCCTTTTCTCTCATTTGTGAAGTTAGGGCAGATGGCCTACATAATTCTCATCAGATTTTCTTATGGTTACAACCAAGGGGATCAGAACACTAGGCAAGATAAAAAATAGAGCAGTCTCTCAAAAGCAAAGAAAAAGTAGGTGATATGTTCTTTACTGGTATTCCTTATGCATCTGAGCAATGAACAGATGCATAACATTCTACAATGCATCCTGTTGCTATTTTGTTGATACAAAGGCTCTGTAATTTCCCTAAGAAATTTTGACTTGTTTTGTAAGGTTATTTTTTGAGAGATAAAATTTAGGAAATGTTCACATTCAAAGACCCTCTTACCACCATTCATTAGGAAATGCTTAGTGCCTTACACATTTCTTTCAATAGTCTCTATCCAGGTGAGACAAAAACACTAAAGACTGTCTTGATTAACACCAAATAAAACCCAGTTCTATCTCCAACTTCCATCCTTGTGAGACTCTCTCATCTAATTACAGTAACTGCTCAACAGTAATGTGGAACAAATGCAGTGCCAATGATTAGAACTAGAACAAGGAAGCAGTTTTCAGAAAGTATCCCTAAAGTCCATGATTTGGATCTATAATTTGAACCAAATAACCTGCTCTACTAATTAAAGACTGACCTGTCAGGAGATTTAAAATGCTATTTGATGGAACATCCCTAAATGCCATTTCCAGGTCTCTGTCAAACCATCTAGAAAATGCAATTCAATTCCAGTAAAGTTTGTTACATGACAGATGTGACTAGGTACAAAAAGAAATATTAGACTCAAGCTTGATTTTCAAGAAGCAAATGATGGCAACATCATTTCCAAGAAGAAAAAACAAAAAGATTTTAGAAGCAATAGGTTATGTTTTTTCTTTTAAGAAATCATGTAAATGATATATGTTAGCTGAAAACATCTTTTAAACGAGTTGAATAACCAAATATGGGGTCTAATTTGTTTCTTTTTTAAAAAAAAAAATCATCATTTACCTATGCAGTACTATATTTTGAAGACACATCTCTGGCCAATGACCTCAAGGTGATCAGTCCAACAAAAAAGATTAATAGGTAGAATGTGAAATTGTGCTGGGTATTAGGGCACCATTATACCCCATAAACCAAGAGTAGAGTAGTTCCAGGTCTCATTTGACACTTAGGCCCAAGTTAGCTGTAACTGAAAGGAGACAAGGAACTGGGGGTATTCTATAAGAGATCCATTTTTCTGCTCCTAGCACATATTCTGCAAGGTCTTCCTGCTACAGTATAACAGGATCCTGGGGAAATACAACAATCTTATAATGCATTTATGACCACCAAAAAATTAAAGAAAATGTCCCAAGAAAGTACATAGATACACACATGCATACATATATACAAGGAAGAGGGGAGGAAAGGAAGGAAATATAAAATCAAAATAGTAAGTGGAAAGCACACACAGAAGTCAGGGTAGCCCTGGGAGCAGGTGCTGCTAAGTCCTCTGGAACCAGAGACTGAGCGCTGGGACCCTCCCATGGTGGGGCAGCTGAACCCGAGACTTGGGCAATAAGTCAAGATCCTTAAAGGTTACTAATGCAGTCCCAGATCAGTCCTGATCCCAAGTTCCAGGACACAAGAAATTTCAATCTTCTCTGGAGGAAAGTTCTCAGTTTGAGCCCTCGATACTGTTAAATTTTATCAAATATAAGCTCACACAAATAATTTCTCAAAACATAAGAAAACAAAACAATGTAAATGAGAGTGAGCATAAATGATAAACAACAGAATTACACCCTCAATTACCAAATATCCAGTATTCTCAGACATAGAATATTACTATATATAAAATATTTCATATAATAAAATATGAAATATTAAAATGAACAAACAAAAAGAGACTTTAAGAAAATGACCAGAAAGATTTGCAAACTAGCCATAGAGAATTACAAAACAACAACAGTATAAAATCATTAAAACTGAAAACTCAATGGACGGATTAAACCACAGATTTATATAGCTGAATAGAGAATTACTGACCTGACAAAGCTTATGAAAAAAAAAAAAATGACCAGAAGGCAGTACAGAGAGAAAGATAAAGATATGGAAATTATTAAAAGGGTATTAAGAGGCATGAAGCACAGAAGAAAAAGGTTGAACACAAGTCTAATGGACGTCCTAGAAGGAGAGAATAGAGAATGGAGGAGAGGTAATTTTGTGACACAATGGCCAGGGTTTCTCTAGAACTGGTGATAGACACCAATCCAAAGATGCAGAGACACCCTATATCCCAGGCAGAAGAAATCAAAAGCATGGTTGACCCTTGAACGACACAGGTTTGAACTGTGTGGATACACTTATACATGGATTTTCTTCTGCCTCTCCCACCCTTGAGATGCAAGACCCACCCCTCCTCTTTCTTTTCCTCCTCAGCTGACTCAATGTAAAGATGACAAGGATGAGGACCTTTATCCGTACTTTTCACTTTATCAATGGTAAATATATTTTCTCTTCCTTATGATTTTTGTAATAGCATTTTCTTTTCTCTGGCTCACCTTATTGTAAGAATACAACATATAATACATATAACATACAAAATAAGTATGCATTGACTGTTTATTGGTAAGGCTTCTGGCCAACAGTAGGCTATTAAGTAGTTAAGTTTTGGGGGAGTTAGAAATCATACATGGATTTTCAACCATGCAGAGGGGTCAGCACCCCTAAGCCCACCATTGTCCGAGAGTCAACTATATTCCACATCTAGAGACACTGAAATGATACTACAGAATACCAAAAGCAACCACAATATTATGAAGGCAGCCAGAAAAGAGGTCAGCAATTAGACTGACAGCTAATTTCTCAGCAGCCACACTGAAGTCAGAAGATAGTAGTTATCTTCTTTTCATTTTCACTTGCATTTGTTTAATTATGAAGAGTTTAAGCATCTCTTCTCAAGTTCAAGGGTCAGTTGTACTTATTTACTTATAAACTGACAGTAGTTATCTTCAAAGTGGTAGGAGAAAATAAGTCTTAACTAGAACACCCAATGAGGAAATTTTTTAAGAATGAGAAAGAAATATATTTTCTTATACACAAAAACAGAGGAGTTTACTATCAACAAAACTTCAAAAGAATATCTAAAGACCTTACTTTAGGAAGGAGGAGATAAGGAATGTCAAGGATTAGAAAAGTTGGTATATAGGTAGGTAATCTTAAATGAGTATTTTTAAAACGTCTCTGTAAAACAAAAAATATTTACACTGTGATGGTAAAAGGAGTCAGAACTAAAATATCAGGCAACAATAGCATATAATTCAAGAGAGAGTGATTGGAGTTAAGGTACTCGAAGATGCCTGAGTTCTTTGGAAATGGGGTTAGGATACCAACTTTATTCACAGTGGGAGAAAGTGGTATCATAGACCTAATCCACCAAGACCTCAAGCCAGGACTTCCTCACCACTTTCCCTCCTAACCTAATCCACTCCAGCCAAGCCTGTCCTCCACATTTGTGATGGGGGAGAGGTTGACTTGTTTCCTGACAGAATTAAATTCTCCAGAGAATTCCATGGCCCCTGGAGGCAGGGTGGCTTCCCTGGGTGGAAGAGGGGCTTAGAGCAAAGAAAAACCCTCCAGGAAGAGGAAAGAGTGTTTTGGCAGCTTAAACTTTCAGCTGTGTCTAGAGAGTAATCTACTTATCCTAACTTGCAGGCCAGGTGTGGCTTTGTTTGTGAAGGGCTTTGTCGGGGCCAGGCGTTGTTTGACTTTGGCAAACAGGGTTGGAGATTAGTGATTTGTGACGTTACAGCACTGACTGGGAGGTAAGATGTGTTTGAGTTCCTGGGTTTTACCAATCCAGAGGTTTGGGATGGCGGAAATGAGGCAACATGAAAAGTTTCTGTTTGACTGGGAGAACCCAATTTCCTCCTGGAATTTTTCTGCTAGATGCAGTCTGACCACATCGATCCACACCAACTTGCTTCTTAGAAAATAATAAATCACAGAAAGATCATCCTTCAAAGGCTTCTTTGTAACCTGGTTGCTGAGCCTGGGTCTACCTGAATGTTGGGCTGTAGGAAAATGACCTACAGAAGCTTCTTGTGGCCATTTCTTCATCACATTCCCTGATAACTTGGACAGTGGGGTTGGTACAGGGAGCGGGAGGTGGGAAAAGAGTTGGGGATGAGCAACACTGCAATTGGAACCTAACTTGTAGAATTCGGGCTCCTTTTTACGTAATCCTAAAGCAAGCAAGTAGAAAGGTCTGTTGGCCGGGGAAAAAAAATGCATAACACATTTAAGTGCCAGTTCCAAATTATTTATGAACTATCTAATATTTTCATGGGCTCTATTTCTGATGAACTCCATTAGAGGGATTAGTGAGCAGTGGCAATAACGGCTAATAGTTGCCCGGCTAATGCAACTTCAGGACTGTTAGAAGTGATGCTACTCTCGTGGGTTGCTGAGGACAACCCTAGTTGAGAATGCTGAGCTACTCCAGCATGCACACCTGTTCGTTGTATCGTGTGATGCCCACTTAACATCACGGGTTTCAGAACCCCTGCCAAAAAAACAGACCACGCACTTATCACTAAACACACCTTTACGTGGGTTTTCCACATGCACATAATTGCCCTGAGCATTGATAACAATTATCTGCTATATGCAAAGAGGAGATAATGTTCTCTGCCCAGTGGAACAACCGTCATTGATAATTACAAGGTAGTTGGTCTCGGCCCCAGAAAGGACTATATATTGGCATCCCCCAAGAAGTGTTGTATTTATAAGCCATATTCTTGGAGGGGTTAGTGCAGTGAGGAATTAAAAGGACAAGACATTCTTTAATATTTTCAACAAAGGGAATTAGTACTTCAGAAAATGAGTGAGTAAATATCTATGAGAGTTCAGTATGCTGTTTGGTTACAGTAAAAATAGGAAGAATGGCCCTTGGATTCCACAGGAGTGGGTCCTTAACTAGAAAAGCATACAGCAAAGGAGCCCGGGGGGCCTTCCTGGATAACATCAGGTGAGTATTACATTTCCTAAATATGTGCTGCTAAATCATCCAAAACTTCACGAATTCTTGCGGTGAAGAACTGTGGTCTTTTACAGCATTTTTAAATTATTATTTATGTATGTATTTAGAGACGAAGTCTCTCTCTGTCGGCCAGGCTGGAGTGCAGTGGCGCAATCTCAGCTCACTGCAACCTCTGCCTCCTGGGTTCAAGCGATTCTCCTGCCTCAGCCTCCCGAGTGAGTAGCTGGGGGTGCGTGCCACCATGCCCGGTTAATTTTTGTATTTTTAGTAGGGACAGGGTTTCACCATGTTGGCCAGGATGGTCTCGATCTCTTGACCTCGTGATCTGCCTGCCTCGGCCTCCCAAAGTGCTGGGATCACAGGCGTGTACAGCATTTTTAAATTGTTCTTTTCTTCCTCCCTCCCTTCTCTTTTCTTTCCTTTTCTCATGAAGAGGACACAAAGGCCAAAATTATCAGTTCAGTGCCCTTTCCTCCGCGTAGTAATTGTCCAACTTTAGTTACGTACAGATCTTTTTTTAAAGATCTTCCCTTGAATTCCCATAATGTTAACTCTAATTATCATTATTAGGGTGTTACTTAGAAAACAATCAACATAAAACCAGGCCCAAAATCCTTAGACATACTACCCTTCATCTACCAACACCACAGAACATGCATAAATAAATACAACCAAAACCATAAAGCCAATAGCATTCAAGTTAAGTTAAAAGGATTAATTTAACATGCTGAATGATGTTCTGCTGAAACCACACTGCTGCCCAAATGAGGAGCTGTATGGTACTGATCACTGTGGCATGGATTCTCTGGAGCTCAGCAAGCATTTACTCCTGTTCCATGTGATGACTGAATCCTCCTGCCACCTTCCCTTCTGGAACTACTGTGAAACCTTTCTTCATCAGCCTTCTGTGTGGGCATTTGCTCTTTGAATGTAAACAGTGCTCTGGGATCAAACTAAATCTACCGTGATTTTTTCTTAAGAACACTCCACATTGAAAGTGGTCCTGCTTGACACTAATTTGAACACAAACCTAATGTAGATGCAGACACGGAAACCATGTCACAGTACTCAGTTATAAGGTAGTCATCCAAATGATCCAGAATATGCCTATCTTAAATTTTTATTGCCATCCAAATAAAAGCAACATGTGAAAATCTGTATAGAGGACTCACAAATCCCCAAAGTCCATAAATGTTCAGAGGCCCTCAGCCCCCAAAGTGAGAAACCGCCCTGTGGAATGCTGTCTGGTGACCATGTGGTTACACAGACAAGCTGCCCTGAGTATGTACTGAAATGAGAAACATGCTCTCACTCACAGGTGGGAATTGAACAATGAGAACACTTGGACACAGGGTGGGGGACATCACACACCAGGGCCTGTCATGGGGTGGGGGGAGGGGGGAGGGATAGCATTAGGAGGAATAACTAATGTAAATGACGAGTTAATGGGTGCAGCACACCAACATGGAACATGTATACATATGTACCAAACCTGCACATTGTGCACATGTACCCTAGAACTTAAAGTATAATAAAAAAAAAGAAAAAGAAAAAATAATAATTTTTAAAAAAAAGAAAAAAAGAAATGAGAAACATGCCTCCATCAAAACCTGGAGGGGTGGGGTTAGGAGCTGGAGCAGAACTGAAACAGCTATTATAAAGAATAAAATCAGAGCTAACACAAGATGACTAGAAAGATGGCCACAGAGCAAGCACAGCACCCACAGACTTGTGACACGATCTCGGCAGTGCTGAGTGCTCTTTCGGGAGCTCCCAGCTCTCCCACTGTGACCCAGTTTTCATGGTAAAATGGATGCAATATTTAAGGCCTTTCTGGACTGCAGTCCAGAGGGGTGTGAAATATGAACCATGCTTGAGATTCCACTAAATGGGTCCCTAGTGCTGCTACTGAAACAAACTTCCACAATTATGGTGATAGTTTGTTTTGGTCTGTTTCTTTCTCGTTTGGGGTTTTTCCATTTGCCCCTTCACCTCCACCAGCACTGGATCCATTATTGGCCTTGCTCTGTGCTCCAGGAGGGTGACTCCTGAAGGCAGCACCACCCAGGGTCCTGTGCCAGGTGACTTTTGGTTGGGTTCTGTCAGTGGGAGGCACTAGCATGAGACTGGAGGGAGAGAGGAACAGGAGGTTGAGGTGTTCCCTCCAATCCTTGGGTGCTTCACTGCAGCATCTCTGGTGAAAGCTGTGTCCTTCCACAGCCCTGGCCCCGGCAGGTCCTGCTTCTCTGTGGCTGCAGCTCTAAGTGCTCATGGAACATTACTTCCTTCTACCACCCCTTCAGCCCAGGACTGGCTATGAGCCCTCATGAAACACTATGTTCCTCTCTCATCCCTTCAGCCCAGAGCTGGACATGACTTTCCACTGTTGGAGTCCCTTGTTTGCTCTTTAACCCTGCACACACTTCTGTGACTATAGCCCTTCATGACATCCTCTTCATTTGAACCAATGGGGTGAATTCTGTGTTCTGCTGGGACTGCAACAATCATCAGATTTGGTCAGTCAAATCAGCTCTATGTGAACTCCTAAATGCAGATTAGAGTTTTGAAAATTAATCACATAAAAAAGTAGAAAAAGCACTCACCATCCCTCAGGGAAGCAAACCCATTAAGATGAATTGCATAAAAAACAAAAGCGAACTGGACCCTCTAAATCCACTCTTGAAAAAATTTAGCTTCAGAAAACAATACCTTAGGAAATAAAAAAGCTATCTTCATGAAGAAAACTAGTATCATGTCATCTACAGCAGAGGAAATTTTAGAAACAACCTATATGTCCAATGGGATGGGAATTGTTAAATTATGACATATCAACTTAATGAACTATGATGCCACCTTGAAATATCATTAAGACTTTGCCAGGCGGGGTCGCTCATACCTGTAATCGCAGCACTTTGGGAGGCTAAAGCAGGTGGATCACTTGAGGTTAGGAGTTTGAGACCAGCCTGGCCAACATGGTGAAACCCTGTCTCTACTGAAAATACAAAAATTAGCCAGGTATGGTGGTGCACACCTGTAGTCCCAGTTACTTGGGAAGCTGAGGCAGGCGGATCACCTGATCTTGGGAGGTAGAGGTTGCAATGAGCCGAGATCACGCCACTGCCCACTCCAGGCTGGGTGACAGAGCAAGACGCTGTCTCACAAAAAAAAAAAAAAAAAAAAAGACTTTGTAGCATAGTAGCAAAAAATGTTTATATTAATAATGATAAATAGAACACATATTTGGACGTGCATCAGAATTTTAATTATGTAAAAATATATATGCAGCCAGGCGCCGTGACTCATGCCTGTAATCCCAGCACTTTGGGAGGCTGAGGCGGGCGGATCATGAGGTCAGGAGATAGAGACCATCCTGGCTAACCCGGTGAAACCCCGTCTCTACTAAAAATACAAAAAAATTAGGCATGTGTGGTGGCGGGCGCCTGTAGTCCCAGCTACTTGGGAGGCTGAGGCAGGAGAATGGCATGAACCTGGGAGGCGAAGCTTGCAGTGAGCCGAGATCGCGCCACTGCACTCCAGCCTGGGAGATAGCAAGACTCCATCTCAAAAAAAAAAAAAAAAAAATATATATATATATATATATATACACACACACACATATATATATACACATATATATATACACATATATATACACATATATATATATGTGTATATACATGCATGTCCCTAAAAGTTAGATGACATTTCACAAAACTAAATCCTATATTGGAGAACTCAAAATTCTAAGTACTGTAAATTTCTCTTCTAAAATATCCTTAAAAATGAAACAAAAGAAATAAAACAAAGGACATAATATTCACAGACCACATGGCTATAGCTTGTGACAGCAGAGGTGCATTCTAGGAGCTCAGGGCTCCCCAAGACTATACCCTGCCTTCCAATCAATAAGTAGCCTTAAGCAGAACATTTAACTTCAGTCTCCATTCCTTTTCTCTGCAGTAGGATGGCTACTGACCCACTCACAATAATGTACATTTAATAAAGCTAACAGGAGTGCAAAATTTTTTTTTTTGCTTTCATCCACATGCCTCACTATACCTACTGTCTATATATGCTGGCTCTAGCTGGGACAATTTAAAATGAAAGCATTTCCTTAGACTATTTGTTGTTGTTCAGTGCTTGTGAGCTCTGTTTCAGAGATTGCACACTTTCACTAGGAAGCGGTAGGATGAACATCGCCATTTGGGGGCCTTCACTGGAGCTTTTAGAATATGTTTCATGCTCCTCCTTAAAGAGATCCTATCTAGCAGAGTGATAACAGATTGATGGCCATGACCTTCTTCACATTCTTCTAACTCCTTTTAAAATGAAATCAAAGCTCTTGCTGCTGGTGCCTACGGGCCCGGAGCCAAGGCAATGTAATGAAGGCTACATATCATCCCTCACCCTCAAGACCGTCAACTGAGTTCATCGTTAATGTGTTCACGTCACAAAGGTACATGTCAAAAGACAGGAAAATCCAAGAGAAATGTACTTTCCCCATTCCCAAGGTCTATTTTCTTTAAACAGTGGTTGTCAGAAAGACAATGTCTTCGTGTGGAAGACAATTATGATATCATATTGACATTACAACAAAACACATTTACAGACATAAAGCTTCTTACGCTTTAATTTTAAACTGATGGTTTGATATCTTTGTAAATTGTACATTTCAGCAGAGTTTTTTTAAACTAAAACATTTATTGGTCTAAAATACATATTAACTTGAAATATTGCCATTCCCATTTCATAGCCAAGTGATAATAATTTTCTTTAATTACACATTAACTCCAATGTATTACCTGGATAGGCAGTTATTGTTTTAACAGGGTCAAGATTAATGGGCAGGTGTTCCGCGATAATCTGAGTGAAAAGAAATAAAGGAATTATACATGATTCATTTTCTTACTTCTCTGAGCTGAATAATATTAAGAACACTGCCACCTTACATTTATAAAGCACTTTTCAGTTTCAGAGTATTTTTGTATCTGGGATTACATTTTCCTGCATTTTTTACCTTTGACAGATCCTTCCAGGTAATACACAACTCTACCGCTTTTCAACTTTCTGATGCCCAAACATTGTGTTTGTGTGTTTATATTAATGGGATACAGTGAGAGGCAGTAGATTAACCACAGCCTTTAGAAACAGACAGACCTGGGTTCAAATTTCAGCCCAACCATTCACTACATGATCTTGAATAAATTACTCCGAGAATCAGTTTTGTCATAGTTAAAATGGGGTCAGTGGAAGAGCTAAGTAACATATCACTTATGTAAAAGGTCTGAGACATATCTGGCACATAGCAAGCACTCAAGAAATAAAGTAGTTATTGCTGTTATTAGCAGCTATTTCTACTCTGTCTTGAACATTTTCTTGCCTCCCTCTGATTTGTTTTCTTCAAAATATTTGGATTCAGAGACAGATGGAGGATGCAGAAAATCAAGAACAATATTAGCCCCAAAAAGTGTACCAGAAGGAACTGCATCAAGGCAATCTCAAGTGTCCTCTGCCCTGAGAGCCTTACTCGAGCAAATAGTCTGCAAAAACTCATGCATTTTCTTTCTGCTTAACAGAATGTAAAGTTAACTGTGCTTTGTAAAAATCCAGTATTTATCAGTTGGCATTCCTGTATTCTCAGTTTAAAAGTATATATCAAACCCAAGAAAACATCTCAAATAAAAAGTGCTCTTTGGTTACCATGGTACCCAGCCTCGGTAGTGGTGGTCCCCAGAGACTGCACCCCCTGGTAGTCACAGCTATGTAGCCGCCCCAGCCCCAGCACACACACTGAAGCCTGGCTAGTCTCTTATGCAGCCAATAGAATGAGGTGGAAATGATGACTGGAACTTTGAGGCTGTCATAAAAGACATTGGAGTTTCTGTCTTGGTCTCTTGGATTACTTGCTCTGGGGAAAGCCAAGCACCACATCATGAGGACACTCAAAGAGATCCACATGGAGAAGGACCAATTTGCTAACACCAACTGCCAGCTTAGAAATAAATCCTCCAGCCTTCAGATGACCACAGCCCTAGCCTAGACGTGACTACAACCTGGTGAGAGACCCTAATCCAGAACTGCCCAGCCAAGCCACTTCTGAATTCCTGAATTCAGAGAAACCATGAAAGATAATAAATGATTATTGGTGCTTTACAACACTAAATTTTGGAGTACTTTGTTACATAGCAATAGATGATTATTATAATAACAAGGATAATTTGGCAAGACTAAATTGGAACAACTTGACCCCTCACCATATAGCTACATAACCCAAAGAACATGGACAAAAATGACAGATGAGCAACAAGGTCCTGCTATACAAAGGAAAGTGGCCTTAATATACAGACCAGGTACATATATTAAGCATAACCACTTCACACATTGACAAATCCCCAAAATGCCACACTAATTCCAAAAGCCTTAACCCAGCACTTTGGGAGGCTAAGGTGGACTGATCACTTGAGATCCAGAGTTTGAGACCAGCCTGACTAACATGGCGAAACCCCATCTCTACTAAAAATATAAAAATTAGCTAGGCATGGTGGTGCTCGCCTGTAGCCCCAGCTACTCAGGGGGCTGAGGCACGAGAATCACTTGAACCCGGGAGGCAGAGATATCAGTGAGCCAAGATCAAACCACTTCACTCTTGCCTGAGCGACAGAGGGAGACTCAAAAAGTCTCAAAAAAAAAAAAAGATGAATGACATATATGATTATATAAAAATGTACATTGTCTATGAAAAACTATAAATATAGTAAATATGTAGTATATTAAAAACTATAAAGTAAAAATCTAATAACAAATGAGGAAAATTATCAGCAATGTAGGATAGACTGAGGGTTACTACTCTCCATAAAAAAGAGAATGTATAAATCAATAAAAGGAAATCACTCAATAATAAAACAGCAGACAAGACTGAGAGATTCAAATAAACAAGAAGGGGCCCAAAGACTGAGCTCTAGGGCACTAGAGTATTTAGATATTAGGAAGACGGGGATTCTGCAAAGGAGACCAAGCAGTGGCTACTAGGATAGGGGGGAAACTAGAAGCTTCTGATGTCCAGGAAGCCAAGGATCAAAGAGTTTTGAGAAAGAGAGAGTGGTGAAAAGCTCCAAACCCTGTTTACAAGGTCAAGGAAGATGAGAACTAAACATTTATTAGATTTTGCCACATGAAATCACTGGTAGCAGCCACATCTCATCCAATTTCTCTTCCTATTGTCAACAAATGTTTGCTGAGTGCCCATTATATGTCAGGCACAGTACTTCTTGAATTTAGCTTCCATCCTTTTATGTTGTAACTGCCAACATGTCATAACTGCTAATACAGTTCCTTCCTTCAGGTTACTTCCAGGACACGAGAGATTCTTGGGTGTGGGGGGATGAGAAAAGGGTCAAAGTGGTCAGATTCAAATCGAATAGGTGTCAGAAAATGGCACAACAGCAAATTAGTAGTAAATATTAGCAGAGGGTTAGGAGATATCTCACTAATAATCACAATTAACAATTTTAAGAATTCTTTATACCTACAGCAGTATGGTTAAGCTAGGTTCTGCTGCCATAACAACCCCTCAATCTCAGTGATCTGACACAGTACAGTAGATCTCCCCTCTCTTTGTCAGAGACATTCCAAGATGCTCACTGGATGCCTGGAACTGCAGATAGTACCAAACCCTACATATACTATGTTTTGTCCTATAGATACATACCTATGATAAAGTTTAATTTAGAAATTAGGCACAATAAAATATTTAAAGCAATAATTAAATAGAACAAGTATAACAATACACTGTAATAAAAGTTATGTGAATATGGGCTCTCTCAAAATATCTTATTGTACTATACTCAACTTTCTTGTGATGATGTGAGATGATAAAATGCCTACATGATGAGATGGAATGAGGTAAATGACATAGGCTTTGTGACATAATGTTAGGCTACTGTTAACTTGAACACAAGCACTGCAATACGGTCTCAGTAGATCTGATAACCAAGATGCCTACAGGCAGGTCGCATATAAAGCATGTACAAAAGCTGAACAAAGAAATGACTCGTGACAGTGAGAGGTTGTGTCACACTATTCAGAACTGCCTACAATTTAACATTTATAAATTGTTTATTTCTGGAATTTTCCATTTAATATTTTCAGACTGAGGCTGACCGTAGGTAATCGAAACCTTGGAAAGTGAAACCATGGATAAGAGGAGACTGATATATTGGTCTATTTCTTGCTTCCTCAAAGCCTACGGTGGGTCTAGTCACCTCTTCTGGATAAATATCTTCCATGTGTTATCTTAGCTTCCAGATAGTTCTAAACTGTGAAACATTCCCAACTCTAAACATTTCCACAATCACCACAGCAGAGGAAGAGAGTCCTAACAGGTCTCACATAAGCAATTAAGTGATCTGGCTCAAAAGTGGCTCATGTTCAAGCACAACTCGATGGCCAGCAAGAATCATAAGACCTGTTCAATTGCAAGGGGAATCAGGAAGAGGAATCTTCCCATTAAGATAAACCAGACATGGGTGAGCATTCTAAGTTTCTACTATAATCAGGATTCTAGTTTTTCAAAGGATCTGACATCTAATTATCCATTTGACCATGAAAACATTCCAATAAGGTAGATAGAAAACTGCTTAGAATTTCCATTTACAGATGTGGCAATTGAAGCATCAAAAGTTTAAACAACTTATCTAATTAGTGGTAATATTTATTTAAATCACTGTAGGCTGGGCATGGTGGCTCACACCTGTAATCCCAGCACTTTGGGAGGCCGAGGCGAGAGGATCACTTGAGGTCAGGAGTTCAAGACCAGCCTGGCCAACATGGTGAAACCCCATCTCTACTAAAAAGACAAAAATTAGCTGGATGTAGTGGCGAGCGCCTGTAATCCCAGACGCTTGGGAGGCTGAGGCAGGAGAATCAATTGAACCTGGAGGCAGAGGCTGCAGTGAGCCGAGACCATGCCACTGCACTCCAGCCTGGGCAACAGAGCGAGACTCCATCTCAAAATAATAATAATAATTTAAATCACTATAGTGAGGATTGCCTTCCAGCTTTATGAGCTTTCTTTCCACAAGTCCATGTTGACATTAACTAGGGGGAAAATGAGGATCACTGATATCTGTAGTCATTATGGTATATCTAAAATATCACATAATAGAATATTACATGATTTTCTAAGAACATTAGACAAAGAAGACCCTTTGAAATAGCTAGAATTAGTCCTTTCAGACATAGTCTTGGCAATGACTGGTTGACGTTAAAATGAAAGCCAGAAAGGCTTAGGATGGAAGAACGCTTGGGTTTTCCTAAGAACACTTGAATCTCCTGTCTCTGCATCTATCACTAAAGATTAGCCCTTAGAACAGTAGTGTGTGAACCCCCTTCATGTTAACACTGAACTTCAAATTTCAACATTTCCAACAGTTTTAATTTGGAGGCTGCTGACAGCCCAGCTCTAATGGAAACCAGTCTTCATGACTTCTGTGTTAAGCCTTAAGGTACAATTTCCTTCTCTCAGATATGTGGGGTCTTGATATGGTTTTAGGGTAGCAGGGAAGAACTGCACTGGGGGTTTCCTTTATCATGAGTGATTTAATTCAGCAGCACAAAATGCTAACACTTTTCCAAAAGAAATGTATATCCTAGATTCCTAGGTCAAAATGAAATACCACTTGGCATTGAGATAAAAGCATTACTTATAATGATAAGACTTTTCTCCAAAGGTTGTGCACTCAGAAAAAGAGTTGAAAGAGTGATTAGCTATAAGCTCTTATTTTTTTTCAATTCTTAAATTCCATACTTGAATCCTTAATTTAGAGGCTGGTATGTGAGTAAAGTACCAAACAAGAGCCTCAACTAGTATCAGGTCAAGTCCTTGAAGTTCTGTCCACAGATTCCCTTCCCTTTGCTTTATTGAGCTTTCAGAGGGAAAGAGGAAGGAATGGAATGTCCAATGTCAAGATAAATGGCACATACCCAAATCTAACAGTTGTCAACCACCTAATATTCCATCTTAGAAATGGACAAGCGTTTTCAGTCCAAAACTCTACACCATCTTGTCAATACCTTACATAGCAAAGGCACTTAATGTAGTGAAGATAATTTCATCTCCTGAAAAGTAACCATGCAGTTCACTCCAGGAAGCCAACTGAACTCAGTTTTTGTGGTAGTCAGAAAAAGCCCTGCCCAGAGAGTGTGGAGAAGGTTCCAGATGAGTGTTCCAATTAAAACAGCATGAAATCTGGGTTTTATTCCCAGATTGATCAATTACTAGCAATTTCTAGATCTATTTTTTTAAAACCCACTAGAGACTATAGTGAGACTCAAATGGAACAGCATATACACATGAAAGCACCTTACATTTGCATAGTGCCTTACAGATTGCAATGTATTTCACTTAATATTGTTCCCCCTGGTATATATGAAGAGCCCAACGTTATACTGCCCACTTAGCCAGGACAGAAAACTTTGCAGTAGAGTCTCTTCCCATCTCAAATGCTATTTATCTTTCTTGACTTCATCTCAGAATTTTACATCTGAAAGTTGATCTTGATATCCTTCCATCCTTTTCCCCATCATAAAACACAAGTCTTTGAGCAAAACCATCCAAGAGCATTATTGAGTCCTTTGAAAACTTTTAAGCATTCCACATCCTTTAAGTAGGGGGATCACATACTTCAACCTCCAAACTAGGACACCTCTGAAAGTGAAAGGGAACTCTATAAATAATGACACAAAGACAATAGAAAAACTAAGACTTTACAAGCCAACCTCCTTACAAATCTAAAGGTCCATGCTGAGGTACAACTTAGGGAGCAGATGAAACCTTAAAGGATATCTATAAATAAAAACACATTTTCATTAATTTATTTTTCTGATGCATTCCATTTTCTCCACCTGATTTTGCCGATGGTAGGTACCATGTAAACTTTCATTCCTCTCCTACCATACCTTCTATCTGCCTTCTTCTCCTGTTCAACAAGTCAGTAAACTGGGCAGAAAAAATACATATCACCTGGTGTTTCTATTTAAAGGAACTCTTTGTTTATTTTGGCTTATTGTTTCTACAAACACAGAAACTATACTGAATGGAAAATAACCATCAGTTATATTCCCATCACCTAGAACCAAACACTGCTAACATTTCAGCAACAGTTGTCCCAGTTCGTTTTCAATAATTAATTACACTAGTAATGTATGAATATTTTTGTCCCTTTTAAAAGAGACAAAAAGTTTGAAGGAATAATATAATGACCCAAGAACCTACTAATTTTCAGGCACTTAACATTTAAGTCATTCCACTTAAACCTCATACTAACCATTAATGATGGTAGTATTTTTATATACATATTACAAAAAAGGAAACCAAGGGTGAGAGACATTAAGGGATGTATATGCGAGCCAGATTTTAGTCCCAAGTACTTCCAGATTCCAAAACTCATTCTATTTCTACCATATAATATTATTTTTAAGGCTTTATGAGTTTCTTCCTGTCTTTTCTCTGCATAGCTTTTTGTTTGTTTAACCTAAACGTACTATGTATACCATATTCTATCTTTGTATGTATTTTCACATATTAAACCTTGTGAGGATTGCATCTGAACAAGAGTACTGCAACTTGATTGGGAAAAAAAATCAAACAGCATATAAAGTTATAAAGGGCAAAGTACAATTTTCCTCTATCCTCTCCATACCAAGGTCCACTCAATCTGTCTTTCAGAGGTAACTACAGGGAACTTTTTTTCATATCTCCTCTAAGACACCTAAGTCTGTCAGACATGCATCTCCTTACAACCCATTTTTGTGTTCCCCTTTACAACACAACTTCAACAGCTGCTTATGCTCACTGTTGCCACTTCCTCTCCTCCATTCTCTCTTGAATCCACTCCAATCAGACTTTCATTCTTACCACTTCAACCGGACTGCCCTTGTCAAGGTCCCAATGTCTTCCACATTGTCAAATCCCAAAGTTAGTTCTAAGACCTTATTTTCCTCAACTTTGAGCAGCAATTGACATAGTATATCACATCCTCTTTCTTGAAACACTTTCTTCTCTTGGCTCCTAGGATATCACTGTCTTGGATCTCATCGTGCCTGTTTGGCCATTTCTTCTTGGTCTCCTTTAATGGCTCTTCCTCATCTTCCTGACTTTTAAATGTTGGACAACCCCAATCTTTAGTCATCTCTCATTCTCTATCTATACTTACTTTCTATGTGGTCTCATCCAGACCTAACCTTTAAATGCCTTCTATATGCTGATGACACTCAAATTTATGTCTCTAGGCTAGACTTTTCCCCTGAACTTCAGATGTGTGTGTCCAACTGCCTCCTTAACACTTTATAGAAAATCTCAAACTCACCATGTCAAAACTGAACTTCTAATTCTCCACTCCCAATCTTCTCCATCCCAGTAAATGTCAGATGAAGAGACACACAACAATAATAAAACCTTGAAATCACTCTTAAGCTCTCTCTCCCCACCCCCATCCCACCATCTAATTCATCAGCAAATGCTGCTAGCTCTAACTTCTAAATATATCCCAAATCAGACTGATTTTTCATCACCTTCACCACTACCAACTCCTTAGGCCTGGAAGACTATAGTAACTTCCAACTTGGTCTCCCTGCTCTACCCTTTACCTATAGTCAATTCTCCACAAAGCAAAAAAGATACCCTTTAAAAAGGTAAGTCAGGTCATGCCATTACTTTTCTCAAAACCACTAAATGGTTTCCATCCCCCTTTTAATAAAATCTACAGTTCTTACCACCTTCAGCAAAACCTTACGTGATCCCCCATCCTCCTGGGGGTCCCTCTGACCTCACCTCCTACTATTCTCTCCCTTACTTTCTCAGTACACCCCAACACACTAGCCTCCTTGCCCATCCTCACAAATGCTAAGACCATGCTCTCCTCCTATTATTCTACCTCAGCACTTCGTCATTTACCTGTAGTGTCCTTCCACCAGATAGCTACCAGCCACACTACTTCACTTTATTCTAGTCTCTGCTTCAATATCACCTTTTCGAGAGTTCTTCCCAGACACATATAGAGTACTGCATCCTATTCCACTCCCCATTGTTCTCTCCTTTTACTCTGCCTTATTTTTCTTCAAAGTACATATTACTACCTGATACAGAACTATTGTCTGTCTCCAGACATAGAATATAAACTCTTTGAGAGGAAAGATTTTGCTTTATTTGCTATTCTATATTTGATATCTTTCACATTGTCCATATTCAAAAAACAGTCATTGAATAAACGAAACACATCTCTAATCTATGTATATTTTTACATTAAAATGGAATTACATAATAAGTAAGGTTGTCATTTTCAGTAGTCAGATTGAAAAACCTCATAACTCATAGGTCTTATGATACGGTACTCAGAAAGGACTTCCCTCAATATTGGGGAGTACTAAGCCCTAGACTAAATGCTGCTATGATCCTGCCTAGCAAACATTAAAAGAATGTCAAGATTTCCAAGAAATTTAACTGCATCCTAAAACAAGGTTCAAGAATATTTACAGGAATGCAAAAATATACAGCACCCAACAAAGTAAAATTCACAATATCTGGCATCCAAGCAAAGATTAGTAGGCATGATAAGAAGCAGAAAAATGCAACCATAATGAAAAGAGAAAATGAATCAAAACCACCCAGAACAGATACAGATGTTAGAATTATCAGACAAAGGCATTGAAACTATTATAACTGTACTCCCTATATTTTGAAAAGTTAAGTAGAAATATATATGAAAAAGTACAGCCCCAAATCAAACATTTGCAAATTAAAAAACCCTGCAATGTCTAAGTTAAAAAATACATTGGATGGGATTAATGGGTAATTAGATATTGCAGAACAAAAGATGAGATGACTTCACAATATAGTCATAGAAACCATCCAAAATAAAACAGAGAAGGAAAAGAATCTTTTTAAAAGAAAAGAACGTGGCCGGGTACGGTGGCTCATGCCTGTAATCCCAGCACTTTGGGAGGCCGAGATGGGTGTATAACTTGAGGTCAGGAGTTCGAGACCAGCCTGACCAATATGGTGAAACCCCATCTCTATTAAAATACAAAAATTAGCTGGGCATGGTGGCATGCAGCTGTAATCCCAGCTACTCAGGAGGCTGAGGAAGGATAATCGCTTGAACCTGGGAGGCGGAGTTTGCAGTTAGCCGAGATCATGACACTGCACTACAGCCTGGGTGACAAAGCCAGACTTCATCTCAAAAAAATAAATAATAAATACATAAATAAATAAAGGGAACATAAGTGAACTGAAGGACAACTTTAAGCAGCCTAAAATACTACATGTAATTGGAATTATCTTAAGAACTGAGAACGGGGAACAGAAAAAATATTTGAAGATACATAAGTTAAAATGTTTCCAATTTGATGAATATTATAAACTTACAGATTTGAGACAGTAAATGAACCTTGTGCACAAGAAACATGAATAAAACTACAGCAAGGCACACAATAATAAAACTGCTCAAAGCCAGTGATTAAAAAAAGAATTAAAAAGTAGCCAGAGAAAAGGGCAAATTGTGCACAGAGGAACAAAGATCAGGAGGACAACAGATTTCTTATCAGAAACAATGCAAGCAAGAAGATGGCAGAACAACATCTTTAAAGTGCTGAAAGAAAAAAGAAAAACTATCAACCTAACGTGTATTTCAAAAACCTAAGTGAAATGAAGACTTTCAGACGTATGATACAAAAGCTTTAAGTTCTGCACCACAAGAACTATCAAAGGAAGTCTTTCAATTTAAAATAAACTGACACCAAGTGGACATATGAATCTACATAAAGGAATGAAAAGTACCAGAAATTGTAACCACATAGATAAATGCGTAATATTTTTTCTTATTATTTAACTCTTTTTAATAAATATCTGACTGTTTAAACAAAAACAAGAATGTATTGTGGGGACCCTTACATATGTACAAGTAAAATATATGATGACAAAAAATAGTATAAAGGCTAGGGGCAGGGAGAAGGAATTTATACTCTAAGTGAAGTGAAATAATATCACTTTAAGGTAGACAATGGTAAGTTAAAGATGTATGCTATAAACTCTAAAGCAACCATTAAAATAAAACAAACAGGCATAACTAATCAGCCAATAAACAAGCTAAAATGGAATTATTTTTTAAAAACTCAATCCAAAAGAAGCCAGAAAAATAAGGAAAGGGGAACAAAGAACAAAAGGGGGTGATTATAAAATAAATAGCAAGATGAAAAACTTAAACACATCAAAAATAACATTCAATATGTGTTCTAACACCTGTGCTGAAAGTCAAAAGTTGTCAGCTAACTAAAAAAGAAAGATCCAATCATATGCTGCCTATAGGAAACACACTTTAAACGTAAACATAAACAGGTTAAAAATAGAATGAAGGTAAAAGATTCACAATTCTGTCACTAGTCAACAAACAAACTGGAGTGACAACATGAACATTAGGCAGTATATATTTGAGGGCAACAAAGAATTTCAGGGATGAAAATAGCCATTTCATAAAGATAAAGAGGATATAACAATCCTAAACATTTATGAACCTAAAAACAGAGCTTTGAAATATGTGAAACAAAAACTCATTGAACTGCAAGGGTGTATTAGTCTGTTTTCATGCTGCTGATTAAGACATACCTGAGACTGGACAATGTACAAAAGAAAGAGGTTTAATGGACTTACAGTTCCACGTGGCTGGGGGAGCCTTACAATCATGGTGGAAGGCAAGGAGGAGCAAGTCATGTCTTACATAGATGGCAGCAGGCAAACAGACAGAGCTTGTGCAAGGGAACTCTTCTTTATTAAACCATCAGATCTTGTGAGACTTACTATCAAGAGAACAGCACAGGAAAGACTTGCCCCCATGATTCAATTACCTCCCACAGGGTCCCTCTCACAACACATGGGAATTCAAGGTGAGATGTGGGTGGGGACACAGCCAAACCATATCAAAGGGGATGGAAATAAATAAATCTACCATTATAATTGAAATGTAAATACCCCTCTTTCAATAATTGATAGAACAAGTAGAAAAACAATTAGTAAGGATATACTATCAACTAACTTGATTTAACTGGCAGTTATAGATCCCTCCACCCTTTCAAAGCAGAATACACATTATTTTTACACACAAGTGGACAGTTACCAAGATGGAATATATTTTCTGCCAAAACACAGGTAAATAGATTTAAAACATTCAAGTCATAGAAAATATGTTCTTTGAATATAATAGAGTTAAACCAGAAATCAGTTACAGAAAGACAGCTAGGAAACCCCCAAATATTTGGAAATGAAGCAACACATCTACATAAACCAGGCATCAAAGAGGAAGTTTAAAATAAAATTTAAAATTGTTCTGAATTAAATAGAAATCAAAACATGTCATATCAGAGTTTGTGGGATATTGCTAACGCAGCACTTGGGAATAATTTTACAGTACTAAATATCTATGCAGTAGTCCCCCCTTATCCTCAGGTTCACTTTCTGTAGTTTCAGTTACTCGTGGTCAACTGTGATCTAAAAATATTAAATGAAAAATTCCAGGAGTAAACAATTCATAAGTTTTCAATGGCATGCTGTTCTGAGTAGAGTGATGAAATATCACACGGTCCAGCTTCATCCCACCAGGAAGGTAAAACATCGCTTTGTCCCACATATCCACACTGTGTATACTACCTGTCCATTAGTCACTTAGTATCCTTCTCAGTTATCTGATTGATTACTGTGGTATCTCATCATATAGGCATTTTATCACCTCACATCATCACAAGAAGAAAAAGGGTGAGTACAGCACAATAAGATATTTTAAGAAAGACCACATTTACATAACTTTAATTATAGTATATTCTTATAATTGTTCTATTATTAGTTATTGTTGTTAATCTCTTATTGTGCCTAATTATAACTTAAACTTTATCATAGGTGCGTATGTATAATGAAAAACATAGTGTATATAGGGTTCCGCACTATCCATGGTTTCAAGAATCCACTGGGGGCCTTGGAGCACATCCCCTGCAGATAAGGGGGGACTGCTGTATTGGTATTGAAAAAAAAGTTCTCAAATCAATTACCTCAGCTTCTACTTTAAGAGAGTAAAAAAAAGAGGGGAGGAATTAGCCCCCAAAATAGGCAGAAGAAACGAAATTAAAAAGGACAAAGCAGAAATAAATAAAATAGAAAGCAGAAAAACAATAGAGAAAATAAACAAAACCAAAAGATGGTTCTTTGAGATCAATCATTTCATAACCTTCCATACAGATTGATTAGGAAAATAAGGAAAAAAACACAAATTATCAATATCAAAAAGGAGGAAGGAAACAGTTGACAACATAACATATTCTACAGATATTAGAAATGCAGTAAGGGAATATTATAAACAACTTTATACCAGTAATTTCAAAAACATAGATTAAATATAAAAATACTTAAAAGGTACAATCTACCAAAGCTTACTCAAGAAAAACTGGCAACCTTTGAATAGCCCTACATCTATTAGAGCAATTGTATTTGTAGTTAAAAATCTTCCCATGAAGAAAACACCAGACCAAGATGTCTTCACTGGCAAATTCTACCAAATGTAAGGAAGAAATAATACCAACTGTATATAAACTTCCAGAAAATTAAAATGGAGAAATACTTATTCCATGAAATCAGCACTACTCTAATACCAAAAGCAGAAATATACATTATAATAAAAGAAAATTGCAAACCAATATTCCTCATGAACATAGATGCAAAAATTCAAAACAAATTTTTGCAAATTGAATCTAACAATACATAAAACAATATATCATGAACACATAGGTTTTACTACAGGAATGCAAGGTTGGTTTAAAATTCATGAAAAAAAGTCAGTGTAATTTACCATATTAACAAACTTAAAAAGAAAAACCATATGATTATCTCAAGAGACACAGGAAAATAATTTGGCAAAATTCAATATCCATTCCCAATAAAAACTCTCAGCAAACTACAAATAGAATGGGATTTTTGGACCTGATAGAGTACAGTATCTATGAAAAACCTACAGTTAATATACTATTTAATAGTGAAAGATTGAATGCTTTCCCTTATGAGGAGAAACAAAGATGTCTGCTCTCACCATTCTGTTCAGTATTGCACAGGAGGATCTAGCCAGTGCAATAAGTCAAGACAAAGAAACAAAAGCCATCCAGACAGAAGTAAAACTATCTTTATTGGAGCATGCCATAATAATCTATGTAGAAAATCTGATGGAAGCATCAAAAAAGCTACTAGTACTACTAAATGACTTTAGTCAGTCTGTAGGATGCAGTAAGATAAATACACAAAAATCAACTGTATTTCTACATACCAGCAACAATCAGGAATTAAAAAAATTTTCAGCCATTATTATTTATAAATACCACAGAAAATGGAAACATTGAGGGGTAAATCTGACAATAATGTGAAAGAATTATTCACTACACAACATTGCTGAAACAACGTAAAGAAAACTTAAATAAATGCTGAGTTACTGCATTGTTCATGGATTGGAAGACACATATTATTATATTAAAATTGCAATTCTCCCTTAATCATTATATACACCATACAATCAAAATCCCAGTGAGCTTTTTATTTTGTAGAAAGCAACAGGCTGATTCTTATTCCAAAATCCATATCAAAATGCAAAAGGACCCAGAATAGCCAAATCAACCACTTGATTTTAAGACTTATCACATAGCTGCAGTAATCAAGACAAGGGTGGCACATGGGTCCATGGAACAGAATAGGGTCAAGAAATAGACATATATTAACAAATATACAAATGACTGATTCTTGACAAATGTGCAATGGCCATTCAATGGAGAAAAGGATAGACTTTTCAGCAATGGTGCTGGAGCAATTGGATGTATATTCACAAAAAGTTGAACCATTCAGAGGAATGATAATTGTTTAAAGTTATGGATATGATAATTATCCCAATTTGATCTTTACACTATATATACATGCATTGAAACATCACATCGTACCCCATAAATATGCATAATTATGTGTCAATTATAAATTTTAAACTTTCTTAATTAAATTCCAACTAAGAAAAACAATAAGTGAATATGGATCATAGACACAAAAGTAAAACCTGAAATTATAAAACTTCTGGAAGAAAATATAGGAGAAAATCTTTATGACTTTGGGTTAGGCAAAGATTTCTTACATATAACACTAAAAGCAAGATCCAGTAAAAATTTTGATAAATTTCATCAATATTTAATTATTCACTTCTTTGAAAGACATTGTTAAGAGAATAAAAAGACAAGCCACAGATTATAATAAAAGATTTGCAAAGTATCTATCTGATAGAGAATTTGCATACAGAATATATAAGAATGCTCAAAACAAATAATGAGAAAACAATCCAAATTTTTAAATGGGCAGACACCTCACCAAAGGAAATGGTATATAAATGATGAATAACACATAAAGAATGATTAACATCATTACTCAGTTGGGAGATGCAACCTTACCAACACACGGTATGTTAGCCATTTTATCTCTTAAACCCACAAGATAAAATAGCTAACATACTGGGTGTTGGTGAGGATGCAGAGTAACTAGAACTCTCATACATTGCTTATGGGAACATGAAATCATATCAGTGTTTGAAAAACACTGTCTACACAACTACCAAATGTTCCAGCCATTGCACTCCTAGCTGTTTACCCAACAGAAAAGAAAACATATATCCATACAAAGATCTGTACACAAATGTTCATACAAGCTTTCTTTGTAATAGCTCAAAACTAAAGCCAACCCAAATGTCCATCAACAGGCAAATGGATAAACAGATTGTGGGCATAACGATACAATGGATAGTTATTCAGCAGTAAAAATAATGATATACATGGCCAGGTGCGGTGGCTCACACCTGTAATCCCAGCAATTTGGGAGGCCGAAGTGGACAGATTACTTGAGGTCAGGAGTTTGAGACCAGCCTGACCAACATGGTGAAACCCCATCTCTAACAAAAATATAAAAAATTAGCTGGGTGTGGCAGCATGAGCCTGTAATACCAGCTACTTAGGAGGCTGAGGCAGGAGAATTGCTTGCACCCGGGAGCCAGAAGTTGCGGTGATCTGAGATCATGCCACTGCACTCCAGCCTGGGCAAGAGAGAAAGATTCCGTCTCAAAAAAAAAAAAAAAAAAAAAAAGATATGCACAACGTGTATGAACATCACAAAAATGATGCTGAGTGAAAGAAGCCAGACAAAATGCAAATTATACTGGCAGAAAGTACTTCCCTGCCTGGGCAACAGGGCAGGCAGAGATGGGTGGGAGGTAGAGATTTCCAAGGGGCAAGAGAAAACATTTGGGGGTGATGAATGTGTTCATTATCTTGATTGAGGTGATAATTTCACAGATCTATACTACATATGTCCAAACTTAGCAAACTGTACACTTTAAATATGTACAGTTTATTGTAGGTCAATTGTATCTCAAAAAAGCTGTTTATAAATAATCAGATGAGATTGCCTATTTGACGGTGCCCTTTGCCAACCTAAATTTTGGCCTCATTGCAAAAATTTTCTTGAACAGCATTTAGGAACAGACTGACATTGTTAAGCTTAATGTTCTGTGAAATAGTCTAAACTAATTGTTTCAAAAGCCTGTGGCAGCAGTTTTCTGAGATTATATCAGAGGACACTTTTCTTCTTCATGTAAACATAAGTTAACGTTGCCACTAGATACCATGCAACGCTGTCACTGCACTCATCTCCACCATGTTTGTGCCAACTGCTGAATGTGTTATTTCATCTAAAGAGGACTGAAAACAATGCCTTGAGTTCCCTTTGTCATGCCTGTCATGATACAGCATGACTTCTGCAGGAAACAGTTCAAGGGAGACAGCAGATTTGAACCACAGGTGGACTGGGTGGTGTATGTGTACATAGAAGTATATTCATGTGTGGGAAGACTGAGAGACAGTGAAGGACACGGACACAGAGGGACATATAAAAGGACCCTGAGTCAAGTATTAATAGATGTGTTCCCTTTCTGGAAATTTCTTCCTTGGCTGGGCATGGTGGGTTTTGGAGGCCAAGGCGGGTGGATAACTTGAGGTCAGGAGTTTGAGACCAGCCTGGCCAACATGGCAAAACCCTGTCTCTACAAAACAAATACAAAAATAAGCCAGGTATGGTGGCGGGCACCTTTAATCCCAGTGACTTGGGAGGCTGAGACAGGAGAATCGCTTCAACCCAGGAGGTGGAGGTTGCAGTGAGCTGAGATCGTACCACTACATTCCAGCCTGGGTGACAGAAAGAGACTCTGTCTCAAAACAAAAAACAAAAACAAAAAAACAAACTCTTCCTTGCAGAAAAAATATGGGGCCAATCACTTGACTTCCAAATAGCTGCCCTCCCTCCTACATCTTCTGGTCCCACCCTCAGGAATTCAAAATCCCCCAATTGATTCCTCAGCTTTTGCTTATGGAACAAGCATACAAACAACAGACACACAGGCATATTTGTGCATCTGAACCCCAAATCCCTCCAACAACAGTACAAATGTTCCCTTTTATTTGCTTCTTAGCAGAAGTTGTCAGAATCCTGTATTACTGTGGAGGCCTCTCTTCCTCACTCTCAATAGTTCCGTCTCACTGTGTCTCTTTATACTAACTCACTGTTTCCTAAATTCAGCTGTGCCAGTAGTAACTTGGATTTGATTAAAACAATGAAGGTGGCCCATCATTATTATTTATGAACTACTTTTTTAAAGTGATTCATTCATTTTATATATTAATTTATCTTTTCAATGTGCCTTTACTTCTTTAAATAGGAAGCCAGTAGCCCTTGGTAAAGGGAGAAGGTAATTCTAAAAAGAAATACAATGAACATTAAAGCTGTGAGTAAATGCCTATGGAATTTCCCAGAAGCCTCTGGGTCTACGTGCAGCTCTCTCTTTGTGGCTGGTATGTCTAATTAAGGTATCTCTACCGCTTGCTGATATCCCTTTTTAACAAAGGGGTACTTTACTTTCTTCTTAACTAATGAATGGGACTGAAAGAGTTTTAAAAAGAGAGTAACTGGTTACATGTGCTGAGTGGGCACCACCTGAAATCATCTCAAGCCATCAGAGTTCCTGCCTCTGATATCTCATTGAGAGCCTGTCTTTCTGAGCCTTGAGGCCAAGATGCATTCAGAGTTCACATAAAAGTCTGACCTACTCTGAGGACCTGGTTGTAAGCATCAGGGCCCCACTAGCCCATATGGCACCTTTGTCCAAATGAAAAAAGTGCCCACTCTGGGCAGATGAGCCCTGCTGTGTTCAAGGTTTGGAGAGAGGACGGTGCCTGTGGGAGTATTTGAAAGGGCCTCCCTTGCTCCAGGCCAACATAGCCTTCTGCCAGACAGCACATGAGGTGGATCTTGGCCCCCCTTCAGCTCTTGGCTGGTGCCCTTGGGCAGTGATCAATAGACACAACTATACATGATGGTTTGCCAAGCATTACTTAAGCCGCAGCATTTTCACTAGTTACTATAAATTCATAATTCAGTGTCTTTTAGGGCTTTTTAGGGCTGTGATGTCCCACCCCAATTCCTTTCTATTTTCTGCCTTTGGTGAGTGCAGTTGCTCAATACAGGGATGCAGAAGGGGATTCTACTGGAGAAAAACGAAGCATTCGCAGTTCCCTTGAGGGTTCCAGATGTTCCCTGGTTTGGGCTCATTCCTGCTCGCCTTGTCACCTGCTACATTGGAGACTGGCTCTGGCGGAGAAGCACCCCTTCATGGAGATGGCTAGGTTCCCTTCAGTCGCGCTGATATTGAATAGCTGAGTAATCAGCTGAATTTGGAGGTATGCCTCTTTTGCCGAAGGCACACACTGGTGAACATCGAGTCAAGGTAAATTATTGAAAGCAGCAGAACTGACAACAAGAGGGTCTATTGTTTAAGTAAACGCATTCTGACTGTCTGAAGACACAGCTCTGACCTGCAAGATTAGAACATTGACAAGGGTTGGTTCCAGCAACAAGAGGTGGATTAAAAATGCCACAGACAGCTGACGGCAGGAGGGGCTGGGTTATATTAGCACAGACAGGAAGCAGATTTTTAAAAATTTGTTTTGCTTCTTACACTTTGAATTCTAGGTCACTCACAGCTCAGCCTGCATGATAATTTTTAAAAGAGGATTCTAAAACATAAGTTCAAAGGTGAATTTGTTTAGCCTTTTACAATAGCTTACATAAAGCCACCAACTTAACAAGTCCACATAAATAAGACAGACTTGGTTCATAAAGACCAGTGGGAGTTGAAGGGATTGATGAGAAGGAACTAACCTTGTCCAAGCACAGGAGCATTGACTAGTTAACCCTCTTTGAAGGTAAATCTAAAAGGTCCTCTACTCAGTCTTAGGACCCATACCCATTGGTGACAGGGCAAGGGGATCCAGAGGATAAAAGCAAAGGTCCTCTGTGCCAATCCCTACTAAAACAATGCCCCATACCCAGAGACAAATGGACCCTTCTGACTCCAGCCCGGGCTTTTTTTTTTTTTTTTTTTTTTTTTGTCAAAGCCAAAGGATACCAACCTAACTTATGCTTTTAGAAGATCCAAAAGGGGCTGCTTTTGAATACTAATTTTGAAAGAAGGAAGGAGAAAAAATAATCCTCCCAAACCAAAAGTGTCAAACCGGCATCAGTTCATGAGCCAATGCCAAGTGATGAGGAGTGACTGCTTTGAACACTGAGTTAAGAAGGATTCTGGGGTTACACCTGGGACCAAAAGACAAGGGGCTATGTTCGATGATAACTTGAAAATACAGGATGACCCAGTTTAGACCATCATGTACTCTACCACAGCCCATCTCTCCCCAGCTGCCCCTGGCCAGCATCAAAAATCAATCTTTTCCTAAGAGGAAATAAGTTGGTATAAATGTTCTCTTTAGAACAAAAACATGAAACTGAACATGATGAGGACAAACTGCTCATTCAGAACAGCATCACTGAAACAATGATGAGACCCCTCAGGCTGCCCAGAACAGCTCTGTGAGGCCTGTGTGACCACAGAAAACACTTCCTAACCAAAGCCCCTGGCTGCCTAGTTTTTAAATATCACACTGCTATGTCAACAAGCTTACGAATGGTCTAACTCTCATCATAGTCAATATCATAGACAATAGTCTCACCTTAAGTGCTAGTTCTATTTTCAGTTCTGGGACAAACAGGGTTTTAAAGGTCTCTCTGGGTTTAAAACTTGTATGCATGAATTTCAGCCCACTAGAAAAGAAGGCATTTGACCCTAGACCAGGCATTGCCCTGGTGCCATGGACAAGGTTTTTGAGAACTCTTGGAGGCCGAAGACAGACCTAGCTACCTCCTGGTTATTGGGACTCACTTCATTATACAGAGAATGTGGTATTTGACAGTCTTAGAGTTCCACTGGGTTCCAGGCATGAGGATCTCAGAACACGGATTGCCTCCTGCTGGCCCTGCTGTGACCCTACCATGAGGGGACCAAGGATCCTAGGTACGAGGGGACCAAGGATCCTAGGTACAAGGATCCTAGGCCCAAGGAACTTGTCACAGCCTGGGGATGACACATTTAACTACTGCCCAGCTGAGACTGTAAGGGTCTGGCAGTCCCCAGTGGAGGTGACTCTCTCTGAGTTGCTAGTTTAGCAAATAAAAATATAGGATGCTCAGTAAAATCTGAATTATAAACAACATATAATTTTTTTAGTTGTTATTTACTGTAATTCGGGTTTAACTGGGTGACCTGGCATTTATCTGGCAGTTCAGAGACCTACTCTGGTCTGTGAAGAAACAGATTTAAGACAAGTGCCTGTGTCCCTCTCTGAAGAGATTTACCTATCCTCCCTAGTCCAATGGGCCACACCAGCAAAGCTTGTTTATTTTGCAGATTTCACTAAGAATGGGCAGTAGACCTTCAAAAGTTCAGTTCATCAACAGTTATATATGGAGGGTGTTAATGGTCATTGGACATCAGGAAACATTTACTTAAGCAATTGTTTTGGCAGCTGGTCAGGAATTCAGGAAGCATTCTAAGCCACTGATCATTACTGTGACAGTTCAATATGTGGGAAAGGCATTTGGGAGCCTTGTAAAAGTGCAGGATGTGGCAGTGCATCAAAGTCCCGTCATCATGCATTTGTCTTAAACTTTCCACTGCAAGGCAGTGTGATAAAAAAAAAAAAAAAGAAAAAGCACATGTATATATACGTAAGTAGATACATAAAACAAAGTTCCAATGTACTCATGCAATAGATAAGCTTAACTTACAGAAGCAATACAAGAAACCAAAGCCATTTTTTTCTTTTTTTTTTTTTTTTTTTTTTGAGACAGAGTTTCACTCTTGTCACCCAGGCTGGAGTTCAATGGCACGATCTCAGCTCACTGCAACCTCCACCTCCCAGGTTCAAGCGATTCTCCTGCCTCAGCCTCCAGAGTAGCTGGGATTACAGGCGCCTGCCACCACACCCAGCTAATTTTTTCGTATTTTTAGTAGAGACAGGGTTTCACCATGTTTCCCAGGCTGGTCTTGAACTCCTGACCTCAGTTTACCCACCCTCTTCAGCCTCCCAAAGTGCTGGGATTACAGGCATGAGCTACCACACTCGGCCCAAAGCCATTTTTTAAAATCTCCTTGGTCATATCCTATATAACTCACGTGGAGAAAGCAGATTTCAACAACATGGATCAGATTCAGTCTAAGAATGTAAAAGTTAGAGAAACTTAAGAAAATTTAAGTCTTAGAGATTCAAAATTGAACTCAGAATGTATAAACATAGGCACTTGCTCAAAAAGGTGTGCTGAAATCATTCAGGGAGCACATGAGAGCTGGGTCTATTATCTCGTAGGATTTTCCACCTCAAAAAGTGAACAAAAGACAAAGTTATAACAAGTAAGTAATTATTCACAATTTTTATTTGCAAGATCTTTAAAAGATACTGTCCAAAGTAATAAAAAAGTGTAGTATTTCACTCAATGATTATTTTTCTATTATATTACCTTCTATTTCCTCACTAAATACACTATATGTCTATGCATTAAAAATCATTTGAGTACATGATGGAATGACAAAAATACCCCAAAAAAATCTGTTGATGTTTAGATTCAAGCACATTCATATTTCCAACTGATGGATCAACAGCCATTGACTTTTCCCAAAGCTGCTAAAGCAATTGAATGTATTTAAGATTTTTTTATTGCCTACTCTGTAACTTCGTATAAATCTCTGATAATATCGAATCCAAAAACTCTGCTTTCTTTCTTTTATAATTATGCCTGATTACATCTACTCTATCTTCCAAAAGAGAGTACAAGGATCCTAGACCAGAGGAACGTGTTACAGGCTAGGGATGGCACATTTAACTCCTACCTGGCTGAGACTGTTAGGGCCCAGCAGCCCCCAACGGAGGTGACTCTCCCTGAGTTGCTAGTTCAGCAAATAAAAATACAGGATGCTCAGTCAAATCTGAATTTCAGGAAAACAATAAATAATTTTTTAGTTGCTATTTACTGTAATTCGGGTTTAATTGGGTGTCCTGGCATTTATCTGGCAACCCTACTTCCCTCCACAATGTGTTTCCAGGTATGGTGTACACAAAAGGATGTTCCTCCCTAGCATCCTGTTGGGAAGACTGCAATTTAAGCAGTTAAAAAGTTGAAGAACGTTCCCATTGTCTGCATCTTGTTCTTGAAGGCCTCATACTTTAAGGACTTTCAAAGTGGCTTTGCCCTGCACTTCCAGTAGGAGAGGTTCTCTTCGCAGGGGTGGCGGTGCAGGGCAGGCGCAGAAGACAGTGGCACATGGTGCCATGGGAGCAGCGTGCCTACAGGTCTTTCAGGATCCACTTCTCTAATAATGCACAGCTCCTAGGGCGTTTTATGCATAATAATAATGTTACTATTTTTGAGCACATGTTTACTATTGGCCAGAAACTGAAATAGGCAAGCATGTTTGGATGCCTCCCATTGAGAATGGAGATTTAGCTCCACATTTTGAGAAGTGGCTCAAAAATATTCCTATAAAAACAACTGGAGTTTTAAAGGTTCTATTCACACTTTTAAAAAATTATTTCCGTTGGGCCAGGAAAAAGCAGCTGATCTTTCTTTTTCTTCATCTTGAGCTCTAAAACATTTTGTTTGTTCCCTTCTGCTCTTGATGAGACCTTTACCTACCCGCAACTAATGAATCCCTCAGTCAGCAACTTATCTTTTCCCACCTGCAGAAAGTAAGCTTAGGAAAAAGACAACTAAGAAGAGAAAAAAAATCAACCACCCAGGGATATTCAGAGGTTTAATTATTGCCTGAAAAGCAACACCCTTTCACAGCATCTTTAAGACTGCTTTTCATAATTACTTACTGATTGAAACTGGGACTTACAACAGAGTAAACTCATTTCCATATTAATATTAAGTAATGATTAATGTGGCTCAGGACCCAATTCAGGATCTGAAAACATGGACTAAGTGGAAACTAAAGAAATTTAACCCATAGGGTATATTTGCTACTTGTCTCTCAAATGATTTTCTATTCAATAACTAACATTCAACAAACTTACATTTGTGCGGTGATAACTCACAAAGAGGGAATTCAAGCAGTTACCTCACGCCATCACAAACACATGACCTCCTCAGACCTGACATCCTACTGCCCATTTTTCTCTCTCTCCCTGTCCCTCCCGACTGGTTCTAATGCTTGTTTTGTACCTTCTCTATTTCTCTGTGTGTGTCTCTCTCTCTTTTTCTCTCTGTGTCTCAGTCTCTCCGTGTCTCTTTCTGTATCTCTTTATCTATCTTTGTCTCTCTTTTCCTGTTTGTCTCTCTCTGTGAGCCATTCTCTCTTCTCTGTCTTCTGGTAGTGTCTCTCTCATCACTGTCTCTTTCTGTGTATCTCTGTGTGTGTCTCTGTCTCTCTCCGTGCCTCCCTCTGTCTCTCTACATGGGTCTTTCTGTGTGTGTCTGTGTCTCCTGTCTCTCTTTCTCTCTCACTGTTCTTCTCTGAATGTGTCTCTTTCTCTCTCTGTCCCTCTCTCTGTCTGTGTGTGCATCTTTCTCTGTGTGTCTCTGTCTCCCATCTCTCTGTCTGTCTGCCTATGGTCTCTCTGTCTATCTGTCTCCTGTCTCTCTTGTCTCCTATCTCCCTCTGTCTCCCATCTCTTTCTCTGTCTCCTGTCTCCCACTTTCTGTCTCCTGCCTCTTTCTCTCTCTCCCTCCTTCCAACACCCTCCCTGGCTCACTCTCTCACCCCCTTGCATCACACCTGCACCCTCTCCCTTTCACTTACTTGAGATCTCTTGCTCCATCCTGTGCTCTCTCACATGGCCTAGTTCATGGTTTTGTTCTCACTCCCTGTCTCCAGCCCCAAAGAATCCAACAGCTTCAGCACCAAACATAAAGCAATAATTAACTAGATTAGCTAAGAGTAAATAATTTTTATTGTTTGATCTAAGTGCATACAAATTTCTAAGTATTCCTATGCTTAACCAAACTCCCATGTGGGGGAAAAAAACAGCTACACTCTTACTAATTTTCACTGTGAGAATTAAACGTCTTCAACTGTATTTATCTGAGAGCACAGTATCACAATGGATGGACTGCATACTACCCTTTTAAAAAAGTCCTTCCAACTTTTGCCTTTATTTTATTTTATTTTTTTATTTAAATATGGAGTTTTGCTCTTGTTTCTCAGGCTGGAGTGCAATGACGCAATCTCAGCTCACTGCAACCTCTGCCTCCCGGGTTCAAGCGATTCTCTCGCCTCAGCCTCCTGAGTAGCTGAGATTACAGGCACCTGCCACCATCCCCGGCTAATTTTTATATTTTTAGTAGAGACGAGGTTTCACCATGTTGGCCAGGCTGGTTACGAACTCCTGACCTCAGGTGATCCACCCACCTCGACCTCCCAAAGTGCTGGGATTGATTACAGGCGTGAGCCACCACTCCCGGCCACCTTTATTTTAATATATTAACTATGGTTTCCATGCCATAAGCTTGTAAAATCAAAATTCTTAAACATTAAAAATTCCATGACAAGCCAGAATAATGATACAACAATAATTTCTTATTGTTTTGATAGCAACTGTTGGAGTTGCTATTTCATACATGCCTCATCCTCCTTAAAATTCCTTTGATAAGAAGCAAAGCAATGCCAAGCATACAAAGCAGCCACAATATGGCAGGGATTTTGAGTAACAAGTCAGATCTATCTATTGACAAGGATGAGAAATGAAATTTGGGAATGCTAATGGTGCTTAGGTTCATATTTTCTATAACTATTTAGTTTTAAATATTTTTAAAGTAAAATCTATTTTTGTTTATTCTTCTTCACAGAGAAGAATCTGTCTAAGAGCTAATGAATGCTCTCAAGAATCCCAGTCTTACAGGAAATGCATAATTACTCTACTGCTCTAACAGGCACCACATCCAGAACCTAATCCCTAAGTGGTTAACCACAGGGCAGCAGTCTCCCGACGACCTGTTCATTTCCACCAGCCTGGGGTTCAGGAGGATTTTTCAGCCAATCCTTTAGATACTTGGTTTAGCAAATCTAATTATGATCTTTATGCACACAATGTTTTCCCCAAGATTATATCATGTCCCTGGCATTCCAGAAACTAAGTTACAAGGCTTTGTTCAATTTTTCAAATTTTTTCCAGAGTTCAATCATTCCTATGTCATTCACTCACATTTATTTAGTAAAATTGCATGCCGATAGTCGAATCCTTTCTTAAGCATTTAGAAAGGAAACAAAAGTTTTACTCTATAAACTATTTATTATGTCTATTCATTCATACATAGGGACCAAAAATAATTAAACCAGTACCAAAAATTAAGTAGATAATTATTTTCTTCTTTGCTGGAGAAACTCTTCTCATTTATTATACTATGCTTATTTATCCATTTCTTGTTCCACCACTTTCTATCCATTCCATAATATCAAAGTCATATTCTATTGGAATACATCAGGAACCAAAAAAGAAAAGTCAAGAAAACTCTTGTTCCATTATAATTATAAAGACAAAATTGATGTAAAGGAGTTTCAAAGTGTTAATAAGAATTACAGATGAAGAAGCGAATGCATCACCAAACTGGTAGAAGAGCTGGGAGTAAATGTGAGAAAATAATTTAAAGTAACCATCATAAATTGGAAAAAAAATCAGATTATTCAAAGATAAGAGCTGAATAAGCAAAATAAAATGCAGATTCTGAATATATGCAAGAAATGCAGAAGAAAATTCTAGGGGGAACAGAAAACCACAAATTGTTTCTAACGATCACAGGTAATGAAGACAATGTGATGCTGGAACATATATGTAGAAATAGGTAATAAAGAGACCCAGTTCTGTCCAGATAGTGAACAAGTACAGCTCAAAATCTCAAATCCAAAGGAAAATTCCTGAATTTGATGTTTAAAGAGATGGCCCATGGGCACTTAGAGAAACGTAAAAATCATCAGAAACCACCATGGATTGTCTCAGAATGATGGACAGTAGACTACTCTTACTTCCTTTTCGAATACTGTGCCCAGTCTTATTAATGGAAATACTTGCAGGACATCTGACAGTTTATTGTGGGGTCCCTTTAGACCAGGGCCTATTCCTGCCCTGGCTCCAGCACCAACAGGCCTTTCCTCCACATATGCATCTGGACCAATACAAACTACATCAAACATCTGCTTGAATCTTGGAGACTAGCCTCCACCACCAATGCGACACATCCCCACTCCTTTGATCGTTGCCAAAAATGTAAATTCCTACCTATGCATTCCCAAACGCTCTTCCTCATCCTTGTTCTCCCTGGCAACTGTCTTCCTCTGCTCCCTGCCCTCCAAACCTTTCCACTGTACCTTCTGACAGCCTTGTTCCAGGTCAAACAGCCCTTAAGCATCTATAGCTCTTCTCAGAATACTGTTTCCAACTTCTGACTTAAACTGAAATCTGACTGCCTGTTAGAGATATTGCCTATTCCCCTGCTGATGCCAACTATTCCCTCCTCCCAATCCAAGACATGTGGATTAGTCTGTCTGTGAGTGACAGAATCCCCAAGATAGCAATGGCTTTAGAAGATAAGACAATGTATTTCTCTCACACATAAAAATAAAAAATACCTTGAGGTGGGCTTCACAAACTCAGGAGGAACCCAGGTTACTGTTATCTTACTGGTCCACCATCCTGAGCAGGGCCCTCTGCCTCATGGTACAAGAAGGCTGTCACTTTACAAGAGAGCATAAACATATTGAAGTTAGCAAGAAGACAAAGGGCTTGTTTTTTCTCTCTTTAAGGAGGCTTTGTGTCAGGTGCATGTGCCACATCCACTTATACTCTATTAGACAGAATTTAGTCACATGGTCACACTAGTTGCAAGGTGGTCTGAGAAATGTAGTCTTGCTCTGGGTGGCCATGTGCTCAGCTAAAAATTATGCTTATATTTTTAAGGAAGAGCAGATATGGAAAGTCAACTCACAATCTCTGTCTCAGATGTGAATATGTTACTCCTTGGGCTACTTCCAGATTTTACGCCTGTCTTGTTTTATAAAGATCGCCTAGTCACTTCCACATACTCACTGATACCTGGCCTGTGGTCTTCATGACATCCCAAGTCTAAGGCAACTCTCACCACATTCACAGAGCCTACTCAGCACCCCTGCATAATAATTATTCTACATCCTCAATGCTGAGACTTCCACTTCCCCTCCAGCTCTTCCATCGTCTCCCCTATCCACACATTAAACCCTGTCTTCATCTTTGACATCTAAAATTCCCCCCCCATCACCACAATCACAACCACCAATCCCCATTTCCTATCTTTCCAGCTTTCTCACTCTCCGCCCTGACACATATTAAGACCTCTACTCCTCTGATAGCTACATTTCTCCCAGTCTATTAGGCTTGTACTCTCTCCCTCTCTCTTCCTCTCCTTCCTTCCCACACTCCCCACCCACCCTTCCACCCGCAGCCCAATCTGGACAACACAGTTGTTCACAAGAACTATCACCAGCAGCCCAGATTCCCATAGAATCACATCCCACCTTGCCAGAAAACCTCCATCTTAAATAAATTATATCTATAGCAGTAGTCCTCAAAACTGGCTTAAATTTGTCACATATCTTAAAATTATCCTTTTATGCCACTTTCTCTTCTACAAAGGCCTGTAACTTCTCTACATTTTATTTCAAAAAGTGGCACAGTATGTGATTCACAGGAGACATCTCATAAATGTTGATTGGTTTATGGGTGGAATGATGGATAAATAAGTTGATGACAAGAAGAATATAAACTGGACTGTAGTATACTTAGGTAGATTTGCAGATTTGTACCTACTTAAAAAAAAAAAGAATGCCAATCATGATGAATATAAACCCAAGGGAAGTAGTGAGAGGTATTGTTCATTACTTTGTCCTTGGATTTGTCCTACTCAGAAATATGAATGAGGACTTTGTTGGCATGGTTATTAAAAAATACCAAAGACCTGACACTAAGAGAGTAAAATAAATGTGGTATTCCAGAGCAAGATCTGAAGGCTCTCAATAGGCTAGAATAATGGTCCAAATCTTCACTCTTTATATATATAAATATATATGTATTCTATATAAATAATCTTTATATATAATCTCTTTCAATCTTTATACATAACCTTTTTATTTTATGTAATCTTTACACATAAATTTATATATATTAAAATAAAGACAAAAGTAAAGTCCTTCATTTCATTTAGGTCCTTTACTTAGATCCAAAACCCCGATTTCACAGAGGCAGCAACAAAATAGAATAAACAGAATTATACACATGAAAATATATCTGATAAGGTTTCATTTTATTGCAAAGTTCAGTGTAAATCAAGAGTTCCCCCAAAGCTAATGCTACTGCATTCTATCTTAATAGACATAAGACATCAAGAAGTGAGACCTACTTTAGTCTGTGTATAATCACACTTTGAACATTGTTTTTAATGCAGGGCACTCACGTATTTTCAGAATAATTTGAATGGACCAGAACAAATTCAAAAAAAAGTAACCACACAAAACTCATGGGAAAAGTGTGCATGTGAATCACTGTTGTAGCTCTTTCTATGCTTAACGAACAACATTGCCAAATGCTGTGGTTTTATACCCTTGTGATTTCAAAATGATCAATGCCTGTCACTTAGTAGAAATCTGTTAAATAATTAAGTGAATAAAGACAAATGCTTATTGCTCTTATATCAAGTTTTTAAAGATTTAAGACCCTTCTATTTGCTTAATGTAACCAATATCTTTGGGTCCTCTGCCTGAGTTATCACCCCTAGGAGTCTGAGGTTTTTTTTTAAGAAAAGTGGCATTCATTCAAAATAACTAAAAGATATTATATATCTCCATTTATGTAATTCTTATAAACAGAACTTTGGTAAGTCTGGTTTAACATGAACAATCCTGGAGGAACAGGCTAAGAGTATTGACAATATTAATAAAGATCATTCCCTAACATTCTATGAATACCTCTGACCTCTCTCTCCTGAGCCCAAAGAAAAGAATTCTAAAATGGAATGGAGTGATCCAGAAAAGCTGATTCAATTGTATTATTTAAGTGCACATTGATTTCATTCTGCCATGTAAGTCACCATGACCCTCTGTTCAGTTGAAAATTATATCGGAACCATTCTTGGAAAATCAGTCCACTTGCCAAAAAGGGAATATAATTGTATGTAAGTCTATATTATGTTCATGGTTAAGCTGGATTTATGCCCTTCAAAAGATGAATTCACATATTTCTGAAATACAAAGTCTTTCTTAAGGATATCACCTGCTATCATTAATTCAACATCTCGTGATGACACAAAATCCTCACTGCAGTAAAGTAATGGAAAGACACACAGAGAGAAATACAAAATTTACTGACCCTTCCAATACAGAAATCAATGCAGAGCCATAGATTTTGGGTTCCCAGAATAGGTTGTCTCCATCCCCATCACACACTCTTAGATGCATTTAATAGAGGAAGAACGTGAGGTAAGATCTGAGCACAGAGGGCCAAGATTTGTACCACAGCTGTGAAAAATAAACATTTGGCTGCAATAACAATGTTCCAAACACTCACCCACCCAGCCTCTGCACAATTAAGCAGTTTTGATTTTTAAATAGATTTACTTTGTTAATGCTTTTTTATTGAACCATTGAAATATTTTGAAATAAATACTTTAAAATGCCTTACAGCTACAGGATGAACAAGACTGCACAGCAACAATTAAAACCAACCAGTACACAGAAAACCAGGAATTGTTAATAGACAAAAGAAGCTGTCAGAAATTTACTTCCTCTATTTATTTAAAATGAATGCTTTCCTTAAATTTTCTACCATATCCATTGAAGCATAATATTTTCAAACAATAAATACACAGAGTATGAATTGATCATCCCTGAAAATATGTTAACATCAGATTTGAGTATTTTAACTATTTTACAGATTCTTTTGTCCATATTAAGCATAAAAAGGAATGGAAGAAAACATTACTAGATTAAAGAGCTTAGCTATGAGATAGAGTAGAGGGCTGGCAAATGCATGGAATGTATGTTACCAATCATCCCTCCAGAACCTGCAGACCCAGCTAATCCCAGCACTTCCCACTGCATCCAGAAGCAGCCTCCCCATCCTTAACCCAGCATGCCAACTGGCCCCTTCTAATGTGAAATCAAATAGGTTAGTCAACCCCAACTTTGACTCACCATAGATTTCTATACAACAGAAGATGAACTAATTTCCTGGAATGTTCATCCATGTTTGAAACACTCTTTCATGTTCCACCACATGTCAAATGACTCTTTCAATATTGAAAAATAACATTCACAGAAGTCTGAACTTGCACACAAATTCATCTATAGTACACTAGGCACTATACTACACACTTTACATGTATTCTATCTTTTCATCCTCATTACATTGGGTACTAATATTATCATCATTTTGAGGAAGAGGAAACTGAGTGTTTGAGAACTCTTCAAAAGGAAGTATGTGGTAGCTCTGTCCAGTCTTCATTCCAAAAACTGTGCTTTTAGCCCCCACTAAAAGGGGAGTACTGTCTCCCCTTTTCTTCTCAAAGGCTCAAATTGTGTATTTTATGAAACCTTTAACAGGAGAATTTCACAAACTTTATTTCTCCTGTGTCTCTTGGCCCTAACAAAGTTAAATACTACTGCAAAAATCCTCTAAGTTGTCAATGCCACAACGTTTTGTTTAGTCATTGCACAATGGTCCTACCACTAAATCTCTTATTATTGCATTTAAATTTCATTGAATGTTATTGTATGTGCTTAGAATTCCTTTGTGATAAACTTTTAGGAGGGCTGTCATGTGGTAGAGCTGTGCAGAAATTATTGTGTACCTACACCATTAAAAGTGGAATGGGCATCACCAGCAAGAGGCAGGAGAAAAGACAGTGTGGCTGGGACTTGCTCCTGGAGAGCAGCACTTTCCAGGTAATCCTTGGTCCAAAGAAGAAAGAAGCAACCAAATTAAGAAGACAGCCACACGTTCCCATAACTAAATTTTGAAACTAGAAAATCAAAACACTTGGACAAAAGAACATGTATGATATGAAGGTATCTGTTTGGGTTTTCCTCCCCCTGCCAGCCTAACTATATTCTGGATTGTTGTACCCTAGCCTACACTGAAAACACAGATCACAAGCAATTAAGAAAACATCCCTAAATCCTAAACAGTTCAAAGAAAACCTCTGAGAGAGTTATAGGTTAGTCTGTTTTCTAGATGTCTTAGAAGGTTCTAGAAGCCACTCACCATCACAGAGAAGAAGCTTGGGACATACTTGACACCCACAGAGAACATAACAATTCCAACAGTGGACAGTAGGGGACATAAAGTTGGGTGGGGGGAGCAACAGGAGGGGGTTACTGGAGGGGAGGGAGCAAGGAGATACGAATCCTGTGTTTATGAAGGCCGAATGTGGATGGGAGTTGAAAGGGACCAGAAACCAGAGCACTAAATTCTTTACCTGCAAAGAGAGATGTGAGATGAGCGTTACCCCCTAGTGGTGGCCCAGAATTATAAACCCTGCCAATAAAGCAGTAATTTTCAAATTTCATTTGCCTAAAAACTCCTGAGGCACATGTTGAAAATGCAAATTCCTGGACTCTGTTTACATAGGCTCTGATTCAGTAGATGCACGGCATAGGGCCCAGGGATGAACATATTTTAGAGCATTGCATTTGATTCTGATGCAGGTGGGCTAGGCTGAGAGGCTATAGAATTTCCTTGGTGCACCAGGTCCCGATTCTGCTAGCTGCACCAAGTAACTGTGAGTACCTGTTAGTAGGTGGGCAAAATTCTGGCAAAGTGCCTCAGATATGGTAGAATTTGCACAACAAATACACAATCTGCCTGTTGGAGAAGAATAATTTTTTTTTTTAGACAGTCACACTCTGTTGCCCAGGCTAGAGTGCGGCGACATAATTACAGCTCACTGCAGCCTTGAACTTCTAGGTTCAAGCAATCCTCCTGCCTCAGCCTCCCAAAGCACTGGGATTACAGGCATGAGCCGTCAAACTCAACCATATTACAACTATTAAAGAATATTTAATGACTGCTTCCTTTACATACGTAAAAATCTAAAAAATTGCAGAAGAAAAGGAGAGCATGAGGTATTTTTTTCTCACTAAACTCAATTATTATAGATGACTCCTTAACTTTACGATTGCTCTTCTTATTTCTGATACTTTTCTTCAGGGGAAGGGAGAAGGGAAAGTGGCACACCAGAGCACTGTTTAGGAAACTTGCTTTTAACAGTGTAACGTTACAAGTGTATTCATGATTTTTAATATTTGAAACAAAGAATAGGATATGTTTCTTTAGCTCCTGTTATGAGCTGATTGTATGCCCCCAAAATTCACATGTTGAAGTCCTAATACCCAAGTGCCTCAGAATATAACTGTATTTGGAGATAGGGTTTTTTTAAAAAAAAAAATACCTTCTTACTTCATTAAGAGGAGATAGGGTCTTTAACGGGTAATTACATTAAAACAAACTCATTAGAGTAGGCTTTAATGCAAGATGGCGGATATCCTTATTTAACAAAAAGAAAATTTGGACACAGATGGTTTCAGAGAGAAGTTGATGTGAAGACACAGAGAAAAGACAGCCATGTGGAAGCCTGGGAGAGAGGCCTGGAAGAGATCCCTCCCTCACAGCCCTCAGAGGAAACCGACCCTGCCATCACCTTAATCTTGGACTCCCAGCCTCAGAATTGTGAAAAAATAAATTTTTATTGTTTAGGGCACTGGGTCTGTGATATTTTGCCATGGCAGCTCTAGCAAACTAATACACCTCCCCATAGAAAAAAGGGAAGCTGTCTTTGTTCTTCCAATACCTTCCCTAGGACAGCGTATCACCCCTTACCCTTTGTCCTGGCTCTGATGGGAGGCCAGCCTTGCTCAAAGTTGACACCCTGGAGTAAGACTCAGCAAAAGGAAGGAGAGAGTAGCACCAGATTTAAAATTATCTCTTTGTGATACTTTGAAGCTCATGGGACCACGGCTGCTCAACTTCCTGCAGCTCCTTCTCCCTTCTTCAGTCTGGAAGAGCAGGATGAGGACTGGGGAGGTGAAGGCTGCTATGAAACGAGACCCAATATCCACAAGTCCAAAGACCAGCCCACTCTTCTCCTTGCCTTTCTGATCAGGGGAAGAATGGATGGCTGCTTTCTTTTTTCTAGATGTAGCCTCCTTTGATTTTATTATTATGAAATGTATGCAAATGTTGATAGGCTGTTTTACACTGGCATGAATGCACATTGGGGAAGTGTTTATGTGTACAGCAGTGGGGGAGTACATTCTAGAAACCTTTGATTTTGGAAGAAGAAAATGGGCTGTATTCCATCCTGGTCAAAACACTTCATCAAAAGTGCATCCATGCATTGAAAAGGCTGAGCCTTCCGCCTGGCAATGCTCTGGATTTTGATGGAGTTGTTTTTAATGCACCTTTCTCCTGTTGCCTTTAGTAATTGAGGCATTGATAGCCTAACTTCTTCTTGCAGGTAATCCCAGTCCTCACTGATCAGCCTTCTGAGCAAAGGGCGCCTTCCCATCCTCTCCTACTAGTCTGTGATCATTCTTCTTCCATATTAGTGATAGAAAAGTTGGAGAAAGGATAACGCTTCAAATCACACAAAAACTTATTAAGAAAAGTTACCTTAACATACAAGTTACTAGAAGAATTCTTCAGTCTCCTCTTCACTTTAGCAATATTTATTCATCACCAAATTCTTTCTTAAATTCTACAATGTTATAACTGGCTCAAAGAATGTTGATTCTTAAAGAGAACTAACTCTCCACATCCACAGCCCATTGCTGGGACATTCCAGTCTTTAAGCTTGTTGCCAACAGTTAAGAAACTACTTTAAAGGACTCAACTCTTATGCAAGCAGAACTTGTCAATTACCTAACTCAACTTCCTCAAAGGCAAAAGAAACCCCAAAGAAAAGTCAAAACTGGAAAAAAATAAACAATTCTATTAAGCCACCCCTTCCCACTCGGCAGGGGGCCAAAGTCTTCCCTTCATTTCTTTGGAGTTTTGGGTTTGGGTTCCTACTGCAAGGGCATTGCCACCAACGCAGGGTGAAAAGGACAGGTAGCAGATGGACCTGGCACATAAAGAGATGAACAGCAGGCCACACAAAGGCATGCTCTCTGGGGATACTGAAGGGCACGAACATGTGGGGTTAGGCCCATGGACTGCAAACACAGATGGCCTGTTTGCAAGCCCAGCTCTGGCAAGTCTGAGATGTGTAACTGGGCAATGGACAACCTCACGGTGGCTCAGCTTTCTCATCGGTATGGGGAGTATGACACATCAGCACCTGTGTCAGAGGGTGGCCAAGAGGATCAATGCACGAACAGCTCAGAGAGCGTGAGATGCTGGCTGGCACATACTAACTGGTAAGCAATTTTTGTTGTTTTTGCTGTTGTTGCCTCCCATATCCTTGAGATCTAGTCTGTACTTCTTCTGGAGTTGGTATCCTTGTCTGTCTGTGGCTACTCTTTCCCAGTCACTAACACTAAATCACAGTTAGGCTGACTTTGAGAACCAAGAATTCCACAACTAACTTTGAGACAAAATGAATCACAGAAGAAACTCAAGGGCAGACAAGGCTAAGAGTCTATGGGAAAGGTGGACTAAGAGGGGAAAAGATGCAGAAGGAACAGCTCACATAACACCACAGGTCAACAGAATGTCCTTATTAATCTGAACATTCCTCGTAAAATCTTAGATTTTAAAATATGAATGAACTCATGTTTTTTAAAAATATATTTCCTACCTCTGTCCATTGAACAAACCTATAATGACTCCTGCTAGCAACAAGCCTACCTGGCATCTACATCTGGGTTTCTTAATGCATTCTCCACAAAATATACCCAGGGATTCTTGGAGTAACAACTGATTTCAGGCCTGGGATGGAAATGTGTAAGATGAGCCCAGGACATGTGATGGTGCCAGAAAACAAGGCACTGTTTGTCACAGGGGCTCAATTTGAAGGACAAGTAGAGTGTCAAAAATAATAATGCCTGTAACTGTCATAAATATTAAATAAATAAAAATCATGACTCCATAGTGATACTCAGAAAAAGGATGAGTGAGGAAAACTCTTCTTTACAGAGGAATGCCAGTAACTCAAGGTAGAAGGAGTGAAAGAATTACAAAATCTTAATTTTGCAACTCTAGTGGAGTAGCTAATACAGGCTAATTGACTCAAAGGAAACTTAAAAACAGGGTTGGAAAGTTGTTGGGAAACAGCATATTTGCACTTTGCAAAATATCACCCCACAAACTATTACTAACTGCAATTAAAAGTGTTTTATTTTATTTTATTTTATTTTTGAGATGGAGTCTCGCTCTGTCGCCCAGGCAGGAGTGCAGCAGTGCAATCTTGGCTCACTGCAACCTCTGCCTCCTGGTTCAAGTGATTCTCCTGCCTCAGCTGGGACTACAGGCGCATGCCACTACGCCCGGTTTTTTTTTGTTTGTTTTGTTTTTGTTCTTTGTTGTTTTTTGTTTTTTTATTTTAGTAGACACAGGGTTTCACCGTGTTAGCCAGGATGGTCTCGAACTGCTGACCTTGTGATCCACCCTCCTTGGCCTCCCAAACTGCTGAGATTACAGACATGAGCCACTGCACCCGGCCTAAAGTGTACTTCTACAGCGGAAAGATCCACTAGTCATCAGCTCAACATCAGTAATATTGAGACAGCAGCACATCGTGCCATACGAACTTCACAGCATCACCTATGAAGTAGCTTTGGCAAAAAATGTTTAACCTGAATCTACTCACGCCTGTAAACCTAGCTTCCAGTTTACAGGAAATACAAAGGATAGAGAAACAAGTAAATGACATGCAAAGAAACCATCAAGAAACCCATAATGTGGGGCGTTCTTTAAAACAGCTAGGCTAGACTCTTCAAAAAGTTCAAAAAGAAGGTGTAGAGACTGTTACTGCTTAAAGAAGAATAACCAAATGCAATGCATGAATCTTGATTTTATCCCAGTGTTGGAAAAAAGCTATAAGATGTTTTCAAATAAGCAGGGAAATTCGAAAATGTGCTAGATATTATTAGATAAGTGTGAAACAGAATCATTGTAAACTTTCTTAGGTACAATATTGCATTATGGTAATGTAGGGAGAATGTCCTCAGGCGATGCATCTCAAGTATTTAGGGGTGAAATGCTATGATGTCTGAAACTTAGAGAGCGAGACAGAAGAGCAGACACAGCAAAATGCTAACTGTATGCTGCTGCAGCACACGGCCATGGTATGCATGAAGCGCTTTCCTTTTTTAGAAACTGCTCTGCAGGTATGCCCCCCTGTGACATTTTATTCCCATTCAAGGGTACTTTATTCAGCCTCTCCAGACTTTAGCCTGGAGACGTGGATTTTTGCGTTGGCTTCATTATCTGACAGCAGGAGCATCTGCTCTCCATGCTGGCATCAGGTTTCCTGTCCAGAGGCACACCCAGGTGCAGCCAGGGAGTCAGTGAGAAAGCTGTTCCACACCCTGAATTCCTTATTTCCTACAGGCAATGGGGTAGAAAGGGAGGCCTGAATTATGGCTGTACCCAGTCAGGTTCCGCTGACAAGCTTTTCCAGCTGCCTTACTACATCGTGATTATTAACCACACAATGGAAGTCCACCCAGCCTGGGCCCTCCACTGCCACAAGAGGAGCCCCAAATGATTTCAAATAATAACAGTGCCAACCACAGTTCTTCAGTACTCATTACATGCCAGACACCATTCTAAGTGCCTCACATTTACCGTAATTCATGGATTTCCAGATGGGGTTAATCTTTACCATAGTATCACTAAGTAATACTATCAAGTACTGAATGGAAAACACTGTCGGCAAAGGCAAAAAAAATTGCAATAAAATTTACATTCAGAATGCTAAGTCATCTTTGCTAGAAAAAGCAGGAATTGGTACTGGGGGTGGGAAGAACTTCTCTATTTCTCTCCTAAAAACCATTAATGCAAGCCCCTTTCAAATTCTTGCATGTCTAGGCATCTATAATCATTTATCATGAGAAAGAATATATCACAGTCAAAATCACAGCTTGCTTCCTGACGTAGGTTTTGTCTATCATGGCAGTGAAAGCAGGAGAGGTGAAGATCTATGACCTAATCCAGCTGTTCCTCCCAGGGCCTCCCTAATCGGCCATTTTGCCAGTGCTCATATCTCTCTTTTCACATTAATGTCAGAAAGTTCAAAAGACTTAACCAGATGTTTCCCTGCTCAGAGTTACAGCAGACAGATATTAAGGGGGAGAAAATAAGCTTCAAATATCCCATGGGGAGAGAATAAAGTGGGGTGGGGAAACCTGCAAACATCGAGGAAGTTAGGCATTTGAATCTGTGAGAGCAGCAACATGAACATGTGTAAAAAAGAAGTGTGGGAAACCATGTGGAAAGTGACTCCAGTACTTCACTACACAATACCTACATAGAAGACAGGATTTTGCATTACTCAAACAGGAAGTCTTCACTGGAATACCATACAACCATTGGGATAAATGAACTCTCACTATAGGCAACAACATGGGTGAAGCCTCATATAATGTTGACCTAAAGAAGTCAGACACTAAAAAGTACATACTCTAGGGCTATATGATATTTATTTAATTTTTTAGCTAAAAAAAATTAAATGTGTTTTAAAATGTGTACATAAAATCCAAATCAAACAAAAAAACTTGATGCTGATAGACTTCAGAATAGTGAGGAGGGTGTAGGGATCAGGAAGGGCATGACAGAGAGGCTTGCTGGTCAGGTTCTGTTTCTTGATCCAGATACGTTCTGTGTGAGAACTCATTAAACTGTATGCCTCTATCTATACACAGAAAGCTGTTCCACACACTGAGTTCCTTGTTTCCTACAGGCAATGGGGTTGTAAGGGAGGCCTGAATTTTGGCTGTACCCAAGCAGGCTCAGCCAACGAGCTTTACATTAAATATCAGTAATATCTAGATTAAATTTCCAGATCTATACTTCAATAAAAGTTTAATTCAAAATATGAAAACAATTTAATATCCCTACACCAAGAGAACTCTGACTTCTGTTTCTGAAACAACCTCAGAAATGGTGGTATTACCTAAAATCATCAACTTAAAGAAAGTGAAGAGCTCAAGGCAATTGGGAACCAACATCTAGTCTGTATGTAAAGTGAAATTAGACACAGCCCCTGCCACAGCCTTACAAATAACCCTGCAGGCATTAGCAACAATTACTAGGGGAAGTAATTACAAAGGCCTTTGATCTTCTATTATGTCTTCTATCTGAGATCTCAAGAAGTCAGTAAACAAACAAGGCCCAGCAGTCCTCTGACAGAGCCAACTGTCTGCATCTGTTTACAGCACCAGGCCCAGATCCAGTCACCTTTCCACAGTAGCAACTAAATTCAGGAAAGGACCTAGAGGTTACAAACGTCCTATGCAAGGACATCATGACTTAAACTGACTTCATATAAGTTAACTCCCATCTACTCTTTATAAACAGGATCCCAGTCAGACAACAAATCTGTGTCCTAGGTTGGCATTGCCTAATATACTGAATTTTTTTGTGTGGTTTTTTTTTTTTTTTTTTTTTTTTTTGAGATAGAGTCTTGCTCTGTTACCCAGGCTGGAGTGCAGTGGCACGATCTTGGCTCACTGCAACCTCCACCTCCCAGGTTCAAGCCATTCTCCTGTCTCAGTCTCCCTAGTAGCTGGTACTACAGGTGCACGCCACCACACCTGGCTGATTTTTGTACTTTTAGTAGAGTCGGGGTTTCACCATGTTGTCCAGGCTGGTCTCAAACTCCTGACCTCAGGTGATCCGCCCACCTTGGCCTCCCAAAGTGCTGGGATTACAGGCGTGAGCCACCACCCCCAGCTAATATACTGGATTCTTAAAAGTGAGAAAGAATAGAGAACTTGAGAGAAATAGAACAGCCTGCTACATCAGACCTCCCAATTCTATGTGACCTTCTTGCCTACTGTTATAGATTAAATTGTGCTCCCCCCACAAAATGTACATGTTATAGTTGTAACCCTCAGTACCTCATCAGAATTTGGAAACAGGTCCATTGCAGATGTAATTAGTTAAATGAGGTCATACTGGAGTAGGATGGGCACTGATCCAACACGACTGGTGGCCTCACAGAAGGGTAAATTCAGACACAGACACACACACAGGGAGAACACCACAAGTTATAAAGTTATGCGGCCACAAGCATAGGAAGTACCAGAAGCCAGGAGAGAGGCCTGGAACAGTTCCTTCCTTAGTGCCTTCAAGCGAGCCCAGCCTTGCCATCACCTTGATTTCAGTCTAGCATCCAGAACAGTGAGATGATAAATTTCTGTTGCTTAAGCCACCAGTTTGTTACTCTGTTATGGCAACTCTTAACAAAAATATACTTACATAGTCCCCTTTGGCAATGTTGGTAAACAAAGCGGTGCTATCCTTATCTCAGAAATCGGGAAAGAAGTGCAGATAAATAAAGCAGATTGCCTTAGATCACAAAGCCACCCAGTTTAGAATTCAGGAATGAGATAAATTTTGTTACAAAAGGTTGCGAGAATGAAAGAAATGACAAAATCCCCTTTTCCGGAGGTCTGCTAACCCCTCTGGGTGGGTTGGTTTAAGATGCTCCTGTCTAAAGGGAACTCTGGGGGCTAAAGCACATCCCGGAAGATGCCTTCTAACCCTAGAAATCTAAGCCAACACCAGCACACCTTCCCCCATAGACTTGTAATTCCCACTGCGAGAATGAATTATTCTTCAAACGCCTGAATCTGCTAAAAAGAATGTAGTTACTGAAAATGAGGCAAGAAAAAAAAGAGAATACGAATAGAAATGGCATTTTAATAAGTAATGAGACTTCAAGGGTGGCTGGTAGTTCGGAATCACTTCTGAACTTTAATATAGAATTAATCTACACTGTCTTCCAAAAACAGCAGTCCAGCAAAAACCTTGCACGACAGTGTCCATTTCAAATGCAGCCACAGAAAATAAAAAGGAACCTCTAAAAGTGATCAATGTTAGATTTTATGTTAGGATTTTATGAATTGATCTCTGGTTATTATGGATCAGGTATGGCAGAAGTCCAAATTACATTAAACATAGTAACATCTAGATTCGATTTAGTATTAGCCAGAACAGTACAGCTAGAGTTACATTTTATGAAACAGAAATGCTCTCATTTGAGAGACATTAACTAAGTACCTGCCATAAGCTGGATACCAGTCCAAAGTTAGACCCTTGGAGAACAAAACAGACACCAGCCCCGCCCTCACAGAGCTTAGAGTTGAGCTCACAAACTAGACTTCAGAGGTAATTCACACCATGGTAATATTTGCTGGTCTTTTTTTTTTTTTTAATTTGAATAGAAATGGCATTTTACTAAGTAAGTAATGGCATTTTAAATAAGCATTTAAAAAAAAAAAAAAGACAGGATCTCACTCTGTTGCCCCAGGCTGGAGTGCAGTGGCATGATCATAGCTCACTGCATCCTCAAACCCCTGGGCTCAAGTGATCCTCTGCCTCAGCCTCCCGAGTAGATGGGACTACAGACACAAGCTACCACACCCTGCTAATTTTTATAAATGTTTTAGAGATGGGGGTCTTGCTATGTTGCTCAGGCTGCTCTCGAACTCCAGGGCTTGAGCAATCCTCCCATCTCAGCTTCTGAAGCTGCTGGGACTACAGGCATGAGCCACCATGCTGGCTGTATAGGTTGGTCTTTTAAGGTAGAAATTAGGTGCCTCATAAGCACAGTAGGGAGAAAGTCAGTCTCATAAAAGTGAAAATTCAGTGACAATAATCTTAGAAATTTCTATTTGTTCTTTCAAATTTTAAAACGAGACAGACCTCCATAGCTATCTTTGAAATGAGTTCCTCTTAGGTACACTGTATTGGAAGAGTGTTTCCCCTTGTGTTATGTGGCAACCATGGAAGGAGACAAAGTTATAGCTTGAGAAAACCAAGGTCACTGATTTAACCCCCAAAGGACCAGGTAACTTCAGAGACTGTATTCATTATACTGGCTGGCAACCCCAGGTTTTAAGCCACTGGTTTACAGGAAGAGATTATGCTCTCCAAAATACTCAGATGTTATATGTACAGAACATTTCATGAATGGGAAGGGAAGCAAAAGCAAACACAAATAAAGACCCCATTATAGCAGGAAATGTTCAGGCCTCTGTGCAGAGGTCATGGTGCCTTCTCAAGGGAGGCAAGGGTGCAAGGTGATGGCGGCGTTTCTTCTGCTGCTACAAATGGGATTCCCTCAGTCATTCAGGAACCCTCCCCTGGGCTGACAATGTGGCACTGTGACCCCTGGCCTGACAGTGTGGCACTGTGACCTGACATCCTCAGCCTACCAGGTGAATTAACAGTGTTGACTGTCACATTCCTCAAGTGAATCCTAAGATTCTGAGCAATTCAGACACAGACACGTTAACAAAGTCTGCCCTCCAGGAAACAGCAGCAGTTGCTTCATGGAGGAAAACTCAGCTTCAGCCCAAAGCTACACCATCAGGACTTGATGCCATTCCAACTCACTTTCTTTCTGAATGACATCAGATCACTTTCAGCCAAATGACAAATTGGAAGAATAGATGCCAGTGTGATTAACTTCAGTTTTTACATTAGTAAATTTGCAATTTGTCCATTAAAAAGATGCCCAGCACTTCAGAGAATCAGAGCTGGCTCACTGTGCTAATGGTGTTGAGTTTTCACTGTGGCAAAAGTGAGCTTAAAATTGGGGCAATTATAACTGTATGTGTTTATGTGGATGTGCCCAGCTCACTAATTTTAAAGAACAAGATACTATACATGAAAAAGTAAGGATGGAAACCTTCAAAGCCACTCTCTTCAAATCACTTTAAAAGCAGGCTGAAAACAAACACTCTGAAGTCCTGCTCCAGCAGAGTCCTGTGGAAATTACAAAAAGAAATTAAACCATAGTTATAGTTATCACTTATTACATGCCACATTGTCTTTAAGAAAAACAAAAATCAAAATGTATAAAAATAAGGTTTTCAAATGCAAAGGGATCATATTTGCAGAGTTAATCAATCATGTCCAGGCAGTTATTTAAGGTATGCCAGAAAACAAAGCACTCACTTCCCCAGGCTGCAGGAAAGCGAGTAAGTTTCACTGCTCTCCAGAGCTTTCTACAAAGACCTGACTGGGGGCTGCCTGTGCTCTGGGCATGTCCCCAGTCTGATCTTTTGCCTTATCTTTGCAAAGTTGCAAGCAACTTCCTGGGAATTAAAAATTAGCTGCCAGGGCGTTCTGTGGCATTTTACAGGCCACTGGTCACCAAGTCGTCCATGGCCATGCATTCTAACAGACAGCAGTTCGGCTATGGCCAGAGGCACAGTTTGTCATCACTGCAAATTACAAATACCAGGAGTGCATGTGGGGCTGCGGGGCTACAAACCCTGCACCTACTGGGTTAGGAATGTTTTCACTTCTCCCTACTAAGAGTTTCCTCCTCCTCCCCACAGAACCAACTCTAACCCCAGCACATCTTAACCTTGGCACTACACAGCCAAGGAATTTACAAAAATGCCTGAACAGCTGAGGTTTAAAACATTCATAACAACCTCCACTGAATGAAGGCAACCAAGTTTTCCATCCACTTTCAACTCTTGGTCTTTTTTAGTGATGATTTTTTCCCTCTACCTTTTAAGGTAATATATCCACATTATAGCCCATATATTAGATCCAGAACAGTTTTTTTAAAATTTCATCACATATACACAACCAGCATTAACATTCTCTTCTTGTCTTTTTTTCACAGAATTTTACTGTGCCTCATACCTAACTGAAAACATACCCTAAATATTATTTTACTGATAAAATGGACATAGTACTACCATTTCCTTATCCATTCCCTTCTTGTTAGACAAATAACTCACTTTCAGTTTTTCTTTATTATGAATTACAGAACATCTTATGACAAATCTTTTTCTGTGTGTCAACCATTCCCTTGGAAATAGATTTCTAGAGTTAGGCTGAAAACTAACACTTCCAAGAGCTGTTCTCTCAGAGTCCTGGGTAAATTATTTTAAACTATAGTTATCACTTCTTATTATATGCTGCATTCTCTTTAAGAAGAAAATCAAAATGTATAAAAATAAGGTTTCCAAATACAAAGGGATCATATTTGCAAAGTTAATCTAGTCTGTCCAGGCTGCTATATAAGGCATGCCAGGAGAGAAAGCCCTCACCTCCCCAGGCTGCAGGAAAGCTAGTAAGTTACTCTAGTGCTACTCTGGTAGCTATTAAGTTACTCCAGTGTTAAATCCTGACGTTTCACTTTCCGATATTCAAAACCCATTCTCCCGCGCCTCTGGATTACTCCAGTGTTAAATCCTGACAGTTCACGTTCCTAAACTCAAAACCCATTCTCCCGCTCCTCTGGATCCTCCCTCTCTCCTAGATTGGCCTCAAACTCCGTCAGCCTCCTGCCTCATCAGCCGTAGCACTGGCCATAGTTTCTGAGGCTTTTTGTCTTTGCTTTTGTCTCGGCATGTTTTTACTCATCCACCAACACTGCCGAACACAAGCAGAAAAGTATTCTGCTAACATTGTTTTTAAAATTATATGGATTACATATCTGTTTATCTTACCTACTTTTCAGAATATATGACATTTAGTGATCAGAAGCATTTATTAGGCATCTACCACAGAAAAACAAAACTAGGATTGTCATATGACCAACTTTATACTTTTCTTTTTGTTAAGATTTTCCACAAACCTGGAGTCAAACCCAGGTCATAGTCAAACTATGCACATTAGTTATAGGTTCTTCTAACTTCTGCCCTCTATTCCTTCACTTACAAAAAATAAATGAGTTTTCTTTTTTCTTTTCTCCAAGAGAAGTTTGACAACTTTTAAAGAGTTTAAAAGCATGATTTGTTGGTTGCTGTTTGTCTCAGTATCTTATGAACTATTTAACTTCATCACATGAACAGATTTAATGCAAACATACACATTAAGTCTAAATTGGCCAGAAATGTGTTCAGTAAAATATACACACTGCAAAACACCACGTCAAACCACAGCCATAAACATATAGACCCATCTAAATAGAAACAGTCAATCTACACTTGATTGTCTGTGTCTACATTTTTCTATTACTATAATATTTGTTTACTACTTATCCAATCAGCGCTGGCACTGCCCCATAAGGAAGCAACAGTGAGTGCCAAAGATTTGAGAACAGTTTATAAAATGGGAGGGAAATAGAGGAGAAGGAAGATTTCTGAATTTAAAAATCAAAAGCATAAAGTTAATGGAGCATCTAGGAATTATATACTCACTGGATTTATAATAAAAGTTTCTAAAATACAGCTCCATATGACTGATTGGCTCACCATGTTTTATGAAATACGAAGTCCTTAAAAAGAGAAAAGGCATTTTGTTTTCTTTAAGATTATTAACACTGACTGAGCACACTATATTGTATATTAACAAAATATATATGACACTGCTAATATGGGTTGCCTTGCAGAAAAAAACTAGCTGCCTGGAGGAGGAAAAATGGGGTGGGGGATTCTCACTGTACATTCTTTTGTTGCCTTTAAATGTTGAAGCATATGAGTCAATTACCGATTCAGAAAAAAAATTGTATTTTAAACTTTTAAAGCATTTCATAGGATATTCTGGAAGCTCAATAAATGTTAACTCAAATTAATCCTTTTCCCAGGAAAGTAAGTGGTAGGCCCAGAGAAACCACTTAGTTCACATTTTTCTTCAAAGAGGGAACCTCCCTTCATTTAGCTACCTTCTAGAATCACAGCAATATTATAGTTTTATTATAATAACATTTTTTCACCCCAATTACTCTTCTCTGAGGCTGGAAGGGCCCATCAGCACACCTTGATTCACAGTTGATTGCCAAAAGCCTTTGTGCGTGCCCTTAGAAGTCAGGTTCGTGTTGCTGGAAGCAGGGAGAAAACCTCAGAGAACTTCCTATCACCTATCATCCTATCACTAACTCAACCTCTGCTCTGTAGGTTGGAGAATCAGGCTGATATGTGCTATAATTATTCCTATTAATGGCATTAAAGTTGATGTTTTAGATCTATCTAGAAGTAACTGCAACTAAAATCAAAAACAAAAGGAGAGAATAAGTGAGAGAGCACATGTGCGTGTGTGTGTGTGTGTGTGTGCATGCATGCGTGTATGCATGTGTGTGCACGTGTGCCATCACAAAAGTGGCCCTGTGGTCGACCCTTTGAGTAAACATTCACTTGAGCCTCTGACCTGAACCCACATTGACCCACCCCAGCTGGACATTCACAGGGCTCCACAGCAGACACCTTCTTTACGTAACTTGGCCATGTCTTGGCTATAAGATCCTCTGAAAGCACTCGTTGCATTTGCAACTTCTGGATTAATATTGATCCTTAGATGCTTGTATGGGCTCTGATTTTCTATTGAGTCTCCATAAGCCAATGGAGCACGGTCTGTTGAGGCTTCCTTCCCCAGACCCATCACTTCTGTCCTCCTTCTCCTTTCGTACAGCCGTCACCCTGGTCTGGGTCTCCACGCCCTCACCCGAGGTTGCTGTCCTCTCCCTCTCTCATTGAGCTTCTGCTTGTAACTCAGAGGATCAGCAACATGGGCTAAAGGGAAAGGATCAGAGACAGGCAAATCCAGGCTGGAGAGAATCTGAGTGCATCACCCTGCCTGCAGAGTTTTGGCGATGGTCCAGCAGGTACCTATAGAAGTGCAGGCACCCATGCCCACTTGGGTCCCCAAGTCTGTCATCCAAGGAGACACAGCAGTGGTAGGAGGATAAGCAAAAGCACCGAGTGGAAGAAAAGGGGGCCTCAGCAGCACAACGGATCTTCCTAATGCTCTACTCAGCACAGAGCCCCAAACAGCTGCAGGACACAGACCAGAACCAACATTGCTTCCCAGCATCACGGCAGTGGGCTTGGACAGGAAGACAGCAAGAACAAGGCAGATCCCAGGACCCAGCTGGCATATCAGTAACAGCAGGAAATCAAAGAAGAAACTCAGAAACACGGACCAAGAAAACACCATGAGGGTGGAAACAAGGGTGTCATTCAGGGCACATGCCTTCTCTCACTCAGGGCTTCAGCTGGTTTTCTACCTGCCAGCTAATGGGTGTGAAGCTGTCAGGGTGCCTCTGCCCACATCAGCAATGGGTCAGAGACCAAGAGATATACTGGGCTGGGCCTGCTAGTGAAAAGCAAGAGAAGCTACAACTGCACAGGGTTGCAGAAAGCAGTGACAGCTGCCAGCCTGCCATTCTACTCAAAAAACTCTAAACAGCTCTGCCTACCTCACCATTATCATCATCATTAAACCCAGCAGTGACTGGGCATGCATTACCCATGAAGACATCACCTCTTACCATTCCCCCTGCTCACTATTCTCCAGCCATTCTGGCCTCCTTGGTGTTCCTTTAATAAATGAGGTTAAGTTCCCATCCCAGGGCCTTTGCACTTGCTGTTCCCTCTGCCTAGAAATCTCTCCCCATAAGTACCTTCAAAGCATTTTCTCTCTCCTCCTTCCATCTTCACTCAAATGTCTCAGGCTTTCCTGACCACCCTATTTAAAATTGCAAATCCAGGCCAGGCATGGTGCCTCAAACCTGTAATCCTAGCCCTTTGGGAGACCAAGCTGGGCAGATCACTTGAGGTCAGGAGTTCGAGACCAGCCTGGCCAACATGGTGAAACCCCATCTCTACTAAAAACACAAAAATTAGCCAGGCATGGTGGCACTCACCTGTAATCCCAGCTACCGGGGAGGCTGAGGCACAAGAATCGCTTAAACCTTGGAGGCAGAGGCTGCAGTGAGCTGAAATCATGCCACTGCACTCCAGCCTGGGCAACAGAGTGAAACTGTGTCTCAAAAAAATAAAATAAAATGAAATAAAATAAAATAAAATAAAATAAAATAAAATAAAATAAAATAAAATAAAAATAACCACCCTAGCATTCTCCCTTTCCTGTGTTATCCTTCATAGCATTTATTACATTGACATCCTGTATGTTTACTTACGTGTTTGTTTATTATCCTCTTCACCAGAGGCACATGTGCTGAAAGTCAAGAAACTAAACTAAAATAAAATAACCACCCTAGCATTCTCCCATTCCTGTGTTATCCTTCATAGCATTTATTACATTGACATCCTGTATGTTTACTTATGTGTTTGTTTATTATCCTCTTCACCAGAGGCACATGTGCTGAAAGTCAAGAAATGGTAAAACATAGGGAGACTGAGGAGGGCAGATCACTTGAGATCAGGAGTTCAAGACCAGCCCGGCCAACATGGCAAAACTCTGTCTCTACCAAAAATACAAAAATTAGCCAGGTGTAGTGGTGTGTGCCTGTAATCCCAACTACTCAGGAGGCTGAGGCAGGAGACTCATGTGAACCTGGGAGGCAGAGGTTGTAGTGAAATGAGATTGCGCCACTGTAGTCCAGCTTGGGTGACAAAGCAAGACTCTGTCTCAAAAAAAAAGGGGGGTAAAACAACTTTCAAGAGAGAAAAGGAATGTTACCAGCAAAACAACCAATGCCATTATGCCCTTTTTCTTCTTCCCATTGCAAGCCATTTGCCTCCCAATCTTTAAAATCTGGACTGAGAGACCTTGTCCTTGAAGTTTTCCTTCGTGGCTCTTTGATTCCCTGGTCTTCTCTTTCTCCAAATGACATTGTTTATTCTGTACAAAACTTCACACTAACCAAAAGCGCCTGCCTCGTTGGACTACTAGGGGATTTAAATGAGTTAATTCATGCTTAGAAAAGTACTAGGACAGTGCTCAGTCCTTGTTAAGTGTCTAGGAAATCACAGCCATTGTTATTATTTAGTGTATGCATCTTCTATTATATCTACTGATTCGAGTCCTATTTCTATAGCTAGAGTATAAGCAAACTGAAGGCAAAGATCTTATCCTAGATTTTGAGATTTCCCAGAGTACTTAATCCAGGTTTTTAATAATTATTTGACAACCGATTGATACAAAGTATTTCAACTTTCAAAGATTTGTTTGAAAGCCCTTGGAACCTCTATTTAAACAGTGATTCCCATCCTTTACCTCTCCCAGGACTGACCTGGTATGCAAATACAGCAAATCCCTGAAAACGGCATTTGTAACAGGAGCTTTGCTATAGCATGAACAGCAAAGCCAAAATACTATACAAAAGATCAAACAAATATTGACTAAAAGAATTTTCCCCAAGGCAACTGTTATAGTCTTATCTTGAATAGAATGTTTGCACAGTTAATTAAGTATTGCTATGGACTCAGCAAAATCCCAGGCAGACCCTGCCAAGCCGCGTTTTACATTCCCACTGCTTTATCGCTATTTACAAAGCCACGCAGGAGTCCCTCTCCTCCTAGCCCCTCACCTATCAGTCCTACTAATGCCGGGTGTGGAACTAAATGATAAGTAAATCATACACCTTTTATCGGTAGACAAAAGATAATGGAATCTCAGTGCCAAGGATTCCATTTACCTATCCCACGGCGAATATGCTCTGTCATTTCCCTTCCAGAAATCAATCAGGCTGCATCTGTTACTACCTGTTGACTTCTTGGAAATGTATGAAATAGTAGAATCATGTAGAGAGAGAGGTGTTTACTGGTTTCACAGAACATGCCTCTATACACCAGATACTAATGAGAGTTTACTTCCTATGATTACCAACCAAGAAGCCTGCCAGAACACCTCAAAATTGACCTCAAAAATCACAGGCTGTTCTATACAGTGAATAAGCTGATTGCTAGCTTACAATGGGTTGTCTAATTATGGAGAAGGTCAGTTATGATGACTAGAAGCCAACAAGAGTCATTCACAACCTTTCTTCCTTCCCTCCTTCCATTCAGCCATTATTTATTGAGCACTTATGATGATCCAGGCACTCTTCCAGGCACTGGGAATACCATCGAAAATACAATTACCATAGTCTTAGGAAGGTTATATGAGGGGGGAAGGAGATCAATAAAATAAAGAGGTTAAAATTTTATAGTGTGTTAGATATTAATAAGCGCTAAAGAGAAGAAAAATTAAGAAGCAGAATATGAAATCCCAAAGCCCCAGCAGAAGGAATAAACTTGTAGATGGGTAACCAAAAACATCCTCAGGGAGAAGCCACTATTTGAAGAAAGTGAGAAAGCCAGCCTTCTAGGTTAGCGGGGAAGAGTCTTGCAGGGGGAGAAAATTGAAATGCCAACGTCCTGTGGCAGAGCATGGCTGGCGTGTTAGGGAACATTAAGGAGGCCAGTGTGGTGAAGCCTGGTGCTCACTGGGAGACATGGAAGGAATACGCCCCAAGAGAAGCAGGGAGCAAGAACCTATAGTGCCTTGCTTCCAAAACATATGCATTTTTATTCATCACAGAAAAGCCACCTGTTTACCAAATTTTCATTTACTCACAACTCTCCAGCCATTATTTTTCTAAGAATTTATGTATTTCAAGAAAATGATTCACATACACACACACGTACACACACACACACCACCCATCTCTGCAATTAAAAAAAAAAAAAAAGTTGTACAGCTAGCCAACATATTTGTCTGGGGAAAGCTCTTAAGCTTCTATTAATAAAAAGAAAACTGTTCATGGCTTTGAGTGTAAGCTTCTGCAGGACTGGAACCAGGCCTCACACTGAGTAGTGGACACTGCTCAGCACTATGGACAACTGGGCACTCGGTGATGCTGTGGAAAGATGTCATGCTGGCTAAAAATAATAACATGCAGAGTTATAGGAGACAGGAATGTTGAAATTTACCACAGGGACTTTTTTTTAATGTGGCAATGCTTCAAAGTCTTTGGCAAATTTAAATGCCAAGCTGGCTCATGCAGTATCCAGACCACACATCCTTCCTGCCCAACCAGCTTCTCAACATAAATAAGATGCTATCAGCCAAAATCTGTGACACAGCAGGGTTTGGGGTGGTACCTTAAGATCTGCTATCTTCCAATTCTATTCAATCCTAACCAACCCAGTTTCATTTATCACAGAAACAGTTTTCCATTACGAAACATTCATAAACAATTCCACCGCAGTCACTCTGCTGTTCTTAGGTATACACAGTCTATGTCGCCAAGGCAAAAAGCACAACTACAAGGCATGTCCTGTGTAACAAAAACTAGTTATTATGTTACATGGATATTTTGTGTAATGATAAGAAAAACTAAAAATGTAAAAAAAAGTTATGATTATTAATGACTAGTCATAATTCTGCCTCCATCAAGTTCTCCCAAGGCCACCCCCACCAGCCCACCCACAAAATGGACAAATTCCTGTGGCTGAGTCACTTTTCTGGCTCTCCTTGATTGCAAGTTATACCAAAACTGAAAAAAAAAAAAAAGTCTACATAATAAAGAACTTCGGGGTGGGGGTTGGGGGAAAGCAGTTGAAACTTCAGAAAGGTATGGACAGGGAAGTAAAAATGAGTTTTAAGAAGTGATCTGGAACAGTGTGGAACAAGAGACGGACGAGATAATTTTTAGAAATGTTTCTTAGAAGACCCCATCAGCCAAAATGGTGAAGCAAATTGAGCAGAAGTTTGCTTTTCAGGAAGCCTTGGAGGCTGCAGGCGATAAACCTGGAGTAGTTGACTTCTCAGGCACATGATGTGGGCCTTGCAAAATGATCGAGCCTTTGTTTCATTCCCTCTCTGAAAAGTATTCTAACATGATATCCCTTGAAGTAGATGTGGATGACTGTCAGGATGTTGCTTCAGAGTGTGAAGTCAAATGCATGCCAACCTAGTTTTTTAAGAAGGGACAAAAGGTAGGTGAATTTTCTGGAGCTATAATAATAAGGAAAATCTTGAAGCCACCACTAATGAATTAGTCTAATCATGTTTTCTGAAAACATAACCAACCATTGGCTATTTAAAATTTGTAATTTTTTATTTATAAAAAGTATAAAGTATGGAGACTATATACCCAACTGCCATCTGCGTGACAATAAAATATTAACTCAAAAAGAAAGTGTTACTAATGTTCTCTGAAAGATGCAAATGAAGCTTGAAAATTCAGAAATACTTGTTTGCTACTTTAGTTTCTGAACTGTGTTCCTCTCAATGGTAAGTTGTATCAATTACTCTTGGAACAACTAGACTTGGAGAAAGAGTCTAACTCGTGGACATAAGAAATGCACCAAGTTTTTCATTTAACATAATACATTCTGCATTATTGAGGGCAATGATGTATTCCAAAACAAAGCATGGTAAAGTGGCTACAGGAAAAATCATGGCCAGACTTCTCCTGCCCTACCTCAAACACAGAAGCCAGTTATTCTACAAAGGTTAAAAATTACATGCTGATTTCTTCTCAAACTGCCTAAAAAAGCAGAGATTTGGGCAAAGACTTTTCCAGTCTCAATAAAGAAGCCCGAAAAACAAAAACCTCCATCTTCACAGTGGTGAGGTGTTCCCCACTCACCTTAGAAAAACAGGACTTTCTGTTGAGATCATTCCCTCCCTCTCCCCTCCTATCAGGCCAGTTTGAGAGGAGGGTGGTCACGCATTCTTCCAAAGCAAAAGCTTTTCTACCCTCTAGAAAGTTTTGGTCAAAGAAGATTCACATATAATACAGAATACATGCTACCAGTGAGTAGTAAATTAAATTTTTCTGTTGCACTAAGAAGATAATAAATTCTCCATTTGGACTGTAAAATAACTATTTGAGACATTAATGATTATACCAGGAATCTTCCTAAATTATATAAAATTTAAATAAAAATTAGAGAAAAAATTTTCTTTTAAGACAAAGATTATCTAAGAGCATTCCCTTAAACCAAAGGAAAAAAGCAAAGACTATATAGTATCACTTTATAGCCCTATGAGGATAATATATAATGCCTACAATCAGAAAAAAAAAACAAAGTTTTAAAAAATTATACACAGAAAAGATAGGAAAAAATATACATACTTTTCAAATCTTATCAATAAATATACTAGAGGGGTAAATTGCTTTTTACTTTTCACTTTTCTGTGTTTTCTGAAGCTCTCATAGCATGTATTAATTTATAATGGAAAATTAATTTATAATGGAAAACAACTTTTTAAAAGATGTTTAAATTATTAAAACATTCAAAGATTAAAATATTTATTAAGGATCATAATGAATAAATATAAAATATGATCAGGAAAAAGCATTCACAACTGATCATGCCACCTTTCCCAGATAAACCATTTACATATTATGTAGCAGCGCTTCTCAAACTGAAGCAGGCATAAGAACCACCTGCAGAGTGTGTTGAAATACAGGTGATAGGAATAGTAGGCAGCCATAAAAAATAAGGAAATCATGTCCTCTGCAGGAACATGGATGTGGCTAGAAGCCATTGTCCTAAGCAAATTAACATGGAACAGGAAACCAAATACCACATATTCTCTCTTAGAAGTGAGACCTAAACATTGGGTACTCATGGAAGTAAAGATAGCTACAATAGACACAGGACTACTAAAGGGGAGTGGAAGGAAGGGGTGCAAAGGTTGAAAAGCTAACTATTGGGTACTATCCTCACTATCTGGGTGACAAGATCAATTGTACCCCAAACCTCAGCATCATACAGTATACCCATGTAACAAACTTGCACATATACCCCCTAAATCTAAAATAAAAGAAACCAAGGAATAATAAATAGAGGATGAGAGCAAATGAGAAAAGAGAGGAAGTAGTGCAGAGAAGAGAAGAGAAGGGAGAATGTTGGAGGGTGAAGAAGGAATCAAAGGTAGCATGGAGTATGTTATGCCATATACACAACAGTTGCTCAAAAATATTTATTAAATTTGAAGTTAATAAATGTTTTTGAGCAACTGTTATGTATATGGCATAACATTGGAACCAACCTAAATGTCCAACAATGATAGACTGGATTAAGAAAATGTGGCACATATACACCATGGAATACCATGCAGCCATAAAAAATGATGAGTTCATGTCCTTTGTAGGGACATGGATGAAGCTGGAAACCATCATTCTCAGCAAACTATCCCAAGGACAAAAAACCAAACACTGCATGTTCTCACTCATAGGTTGGAATTGAACAGTGACAACACATGGACACAGGAAGGGGAACATCACACACCGGGGCCTGTTGTGGGGTGGGGGGACGGGGGAGGGATAGCATTAGGAGATATATCTAATGTAAATGACAAGTTAATGGATGCAGCACACCAACATGGCACATGTATACATATGTAACAAACCTGTACGTTGTGCACATGTACCCTAAAACTTAAAGTAGAATTAAAAAAATAATAAATTTGAAAAAAAAAAGGAAACAAATAATGGTTAATAGAACATAGTGTCTCTAGACACAAGACACAAATGGGTAGCCAAAACTGGTACTGCCCAATCTGTGCCATGGGCCACTGAACTACAGCCCATGAACTAGCAGCCTATTTTTGTAAATAAAATTTTATTAGGGCCGAGTGCGGTAGCTCAGACTCGTAATCCCGACACTTTGGGAAGCCAAGGTGGGCAGATCTCTTGAGTTCAGGAGTTACAAACCAGCCTGAGTAACAAGGCGAAAACTAGTCTCTATGAAAAATACAAAAAAAAAGGGCCAGACACAGTGGCATGCCCCTGTAGTCCCAGCTACTTGGGAGGCTGAGGCAAGAGGACTGCTTGAGCCTGGGAGGTGGAGATTGCAGTGAGCAGAGATAGTGCTACTGCACTTCAACCTGGGCATCAGAGCAAGACCTTGCCTCAAAAATAAATAAATAAATAAGTTGTATTGGAACACACAACACAAAAGACCCCCACAGGTGATAGAACCTGATAATCTGCATTTTAACAAGCTCTCAAGTAGTACTGATGCTGCCAATCAACCAGGCTCACTTTGAGTAACCAGGTTTGATGCAGCAGGAAGTAACTGGAGTCTAGCTCGGGTTCTCTCCCAGGAAGCATGCCACGCTTACTCTAGATTGGGCAGAAGAGAAAGTGAACTGAAGATTCCACCTTCTTTCAGAGTTCTAAAGCAGGAGCACAGATTCATTTCTCTCTGATCAACCCTTGGTGATTAAATGCTTAGTCATGTCCTTACTAGGGGGCCAATGAAATTAAGATAATCATGATTCCAGGACTAACGAGCTTGTTACAGCATCTGATGGGACCAGCCTTTGGATCAACTTGGCAGACTGCCTCTGCCCTCCCTAGAATTCTCCATACACTTAGCAAGTCTTTTGACAGTAGTTTTCAAACACACATTGTTTCCTACAATGATTTTGTTGGATGTCTAAGAATAGGAGGTAGTCCATGAATTCAGTATCTATCACTCGTAAGGAGACAAAAGAAGGCAGACATACACTTCATGAGCTGCCCAAGAGGGAGGGAGGGTGAACTTCAAAACAGTTCAGGCAGTCCCTGCCCTTTTACTCCCAACCATGCACTCCTCAGACACATCGCAGTCCTCTGGGAATCAATGCCAAAAATCATACTCAGAAACTCCATAAAACCTCAGTAATAGACTGCAGTGCCTAAGAAATTACTGAGGCCCCACTCAAACTCCTGTACCAGGCCAGCCAACCAAAGCACCAGAAGGTGACCATCATGTTTCCTTACACCCTAAGGAAGAAGGTACCTGGCTGAGAGGCCTCCACGTTCCAGGCAGTGACAGCCCCTGAGAGGAACTAACTTAATTAACCATTCAGATGAGCACAGAGAATTCCCACCAGCCTCCAGGTCCCCAAACGCCACATCTGCCATTTATTCCCAGTGCTGTCATTTCCTGCCTGCAGTGAGCTAATTACATGCAGTGGGAATTCTGGAGCTGCCGGTTCTAATGTTTATCTACTGTTAACTTGTTGTGTGACCTCAAAGATATGTCTCTAGTGCCTTTATTTCCTCTGCTATAAAAGCAAGATAAGGGAATGACATGCTTGACAAAGTGTCCTAATATAATACTATAGTCATTGCTATCCTCAAGATGCTCACAGGAATTGTAATTAACATGTCTCTTTTACTGAGGCCTTTAAAGATAACTGGTGACATGTTGTCAAAAGTATGGGATCTCAAATGATATTTTCTCTTTTGTTAAAACAGGTTTTAGTGGCAAATGCTACCTATAAAACTGTTGATAAAAGCGGTATTGAATGTGCTTCTTTGTAAATCATTGATTCATTCAAGGGAGTGTCCATAACCATAACTCTAATCATGACTTCATAAGTAGAAAAGATACTAGAAAATTCACCCTAAGTTAGTTTTCCATAACCTTAATATCCAGCATTGGAAACATAAGCAAAATAGGGCTGTACTTCTAAAACTATGTTTTAGAAGACTAGTTAGTGTCAAAGTCTGTGCTGCTATATCAGAAAAGCTGGTTACAAAACATTTTGTATAAAAAACAATCAGTATAATCAGATTTTGTAAGTCTATATGGGCATGGAAAAATATTCAATAAATGGTAGCTATTAAATTCCGCATCTATCTGCTATGGCCCTTGCCCTTTTCTTCTGCATTTGAGTTAGCAATATATTCCAGTTATAACATATTGTTAATCATTTATGTGTCACAAATTTACTGTGAATTGTCCCAGTCTTTTATATAGAAGTTTTAAATTAAAATATTCAAACTTGTTTGTTTTTTTCCTTGCTAGTTGCTTCTTTTGCTTTAAAGCCACAGAAATTGTTGTTCCTGTGCAAACCTAATACATATTATGTTTCCGGCTACTTTTTCTATAATTTGATTTGCAATATTCAACCCTTTGGAATTTATTTCTGGGATATGGCATGTTTAGTGGGTTCTAAATTGATACTTTATTATGTTCAACCCCTGTGTTAAATAATCCTTTCTCACTACTTTATTTTGAAAACTTTAGCTACATGTAGTTGGCAAATTATCCTAATTCACTTTTAAAATATAAGACATAAACAACTCAAAGTAAAAACCCAAATATACATGGCAGCTTTTTAAGAAATCTCAGTCAGACATTATCAACAAATCAAATCATCATCAAGCCATTTCCACCTCAGTGGAGCATCAATCAGCTAAGAATTCCTGTTAAAATCAGTCCTTCCTATTTAGGGGAAGACTTTGACGATGTAATTGTAGGGTATATAAGTATATGGTAGCTGAGTCATCAACTACTGCTTGAATTCAATAGTGTTATGGGGCGGGGCTACTTCTTGGGTGGCAATGTTATTCTGTCCCTGAAACAACTGAAAATAACACCCCTTGGCCCGAAAAAAATAAAAGTAAAGAAGTAAAACTCATTGTTTAATTTGGTCAAGATTTGGCACCATCGTTTTCACTCTACTGATTTTTCCTCCAGATATATTACAAACCTGACATACACGAAATGTACCATATAAATTTGCACTTGTTAGGTTTCTAATGTCTGCATCTTGCCATTCCCATTAAGATATAAGTTCCTGAAATGCAAAGGCTGTGCTTAATAGGGAAGGAAGGAAGAGAGAGAGAGAGGGAGAAAGGGAAGGAGGGACTTGGTGAACCTTGCAGCTCCTTCTTTACCGAGCCTTGCTTACAGGGGACACTCAGGAAAATCTGCCATTAGACAACTATTTCAGGACTTCAGCCACAAATGATACTTAACCAAAAAAAAAAAAAAAAAAAAAAGAACATGTATCACTGAAAGCTTTCATCTGAATTCATCTCCCCTACTGACTAATACAGACAGATTTTTGCCATCAATTCACACCCTGAAGCACAGGACATGATGATCTTTCTTTTCATTTGCATAGCAACGATTTGTCATTATCTGGCCCTATTTTTTACTCAACAAAATAACATTGCACCTTTAAGATTTCTGCATGTCTATTCTTGTCGTGGTTATTTTGAATTATGCCTTTTAGAAGCAACTACTTTAAGAAAAAAAAAATCATCACTTCTCAGGTATACATTTGGCTTGATTTTATAACGTAAGCTTTTCTGGGTTCATTTTCCTGTTGCTTTTCCATGTAGGGAAGGAATGCCTGAGAGAGGTTCCTCTGGAGCAACAGAGTTGATGAAGTCCTCAACTTTGTAATCTCTGCTTTTAATCCCCTTCTCTGATAAATGGGCTAGAGAAAGCACTGCCATCATCGTGATCATCATCAATGCTACAATTTACTGAGCATCTTCTAGATGCCAATCACACTGCTACATATTTTACATGTTATTTTCAGTGCTGTTTTTGTTATCCAAAAGATTCTGCCGGGCGCGGTGGCTCACGCCTGTAATCCCAGCACTTTGGGAGGCCGAGGCAGGTGGATCACCTGAGGTTGGGAGTTCGATACCAGCCTGACCAACATGGAGAAACCCCGTCTCTACTAAAAATACAAAATTAGCCTGGCGTAGTGGCACATGCCTGTAATCCCAGCTACTCGGGAGGCTGAGGCAGGAGAATTGCTTGAACCCGGGAAGGCGGAGTTTGTGGTGAGCTGAGATGGCGCAGAGCTGGGATTGCGCCATTTTTACTCCAGCCTGGGCAGCAAGAATGAAACTCCATCTCAAAAAAAAAAAAAAGATTCTACGATGTTTCTCCTTCCTATCCCTGAAAAAATGCTCAATTTAATCTTACACTTAATTATTAGGTGTAATTTTAGAGATAATGTTTAACTTTTTAACCTAATAAATAACTATCATTATAAGAAATTTGATGCTTACTTTTATAATGTACTTATATTCTCAAATGTAAAATAGAAAAGTATACCCTATAAGAATGTCTTGCCTGTCCCCATTTCTCTCTTTTCTGTCTGGGAAGAATGGATATGTTTGTCATACAGCATAAGGAATCCAGGGAAAAGGAGGGAGATTATTTTACATGCTGGCAAAAGAATGGTATTTGACTCCTTCCATCACTGCCCCCATCCTCCAAAGCCCCGGGGAATCCAGGAGAACTGAGAGGTAGAGTTGCACACCAATAAATACTAACTGGGCTGCCTCCCCCTGTCCTTTCTCCCAGCATTTGTCTAGGGTGACAACTTGAGAGTCAGGCTTGCCTCACAGGGGGCTACCAGGGAGAAGAAAGAAAACCCCAAGGAATCCACCAAAAATGCAATTCCTTCAATTATATTGGAATAGAGTCACCTAAAAACACATATAAACAGACACATATTTTATTACTAAATCTAAACATTAAGTCTTATAGCAATTTACATTCATGACAAACCATGTTCAAGAATGCACTGCAAGGATCGCTGGAGCCCAGGAGGTCAAGGCTGCAATGAGCTATGATGGCTCCACTGCACTCCATCCTGTGGGACAGAGCAAGACCCTGTCTCAAAAAAAAAAAAAAAATGCACTGCAGCCTGCTAAGTCTGAGAAAGGCTACAGAGCATGCCTGCTGAAACACCTCTGCTCATCTCCAAGCTTTCCATTAAGTATTACTGGAGATACCACCATCCTCACCTCATTCCACAGAGTCTAGATCCAAATCCACACTAGCATATTTTCCCTTCTCTCTCAAAGGCTCTGAAAGCAAGAGAAAGAACACATTTGCTAGGCCCAAAGGTTAAGTTCTAAATGACTGTAGGAAGGTCACTAATTGAAACCAGACCCTTGGGGTACCAAGCATGCCCAAGGTGGGTGTCGAGTGCCCCTCATGGAAGCTCCCTCTGGGAAGCTACAAAGATGCAGATCAGGAGACATTAAATGCAGCCTGTGCCCCATAATGTTGACCCTGATCCTTCACCTCTCCCTGTGCTCCTACCCTTTTGGAAGTGACTCTGTAGCTCCTCCTACTATAGGAGAGCAATATAATTCTGGGCTTTGCTGGGTGGGAGCCTAGACCTTAAGAGGATTGCAAGTTTCCTCTTACCCCTGACAGCTGTACCACTGCCTTGGGAAGCTGCCCTGGGATGCCACTGCCCTCAGCTTGGGTCCCAAACTGCATGTCCAGCCAGGTCTCAGCCAAACCCCAGGAAACTCACAAATGCAGGAGTAATAATAAATAATTGTTGTTTTAAGCCACTGTGTTTTACAGTATTTTTACATGGTATTATTACACCAGTTAACTAATACACAGTGTAGGAGATTGCTCATAGAAAATATGATATGTCCCCTTCCCAGAAAAGGGATAACTAGATTTTTGTATGTGCTGTAGTTATGAGAGGTTTAGGTGAATTTACTTAGTTATTGCTCATAACAACCCTACAAGACAGATAGGATTTTTATCCCTATTTTAAAGATACAGCAGCAGAGACAGTTAAGTAACTTGCCCACAGTTGGAAAGTGGTCAAGGCAGGATTCGAACCCCAGTCACCTGGACCTGGAGCTGTTGCTTGTAACTTCTGTGCTAAATGGCCTTGCAAAGTGCCTAGCCCACCTTGCCTAACCATTTGCTGTGGGTTCCCATGCCCTCTGGATAACATCTGACCTGACCAGCACTAGTAACTAGTGCAGTAGTCAAGGCCCTGCATAGCTCAGTGCCTGATTATCCTGTCCTGACTCCTGCCCCCTCCTCCTCCTCCTTCTCCCTCCCTACCCCTCCCTCAAGGCCTGCTCCGACCATGCTGAGCCTACAGTTTACCAAATCCACCAACTCCCTCACACCTTTGCACCAGCCACTCCTGCCTGAACCACCTTTAGGTCACCTTCTGGGACACAGGCCCAGGGAAAACTTCTGAAGGAACCATTTCCTGTCCCCAGGCAAGTGCACAGGCTGCTTTATTCTGAGTGTTCTCCCAGGCTCCAGAAAGTTCTCTACAGAGCACTAAGGACTCCAGGCTGTGGCTGTCTGCTCAGCTCTTGTCTGAGTAGGATGAAAGCCCCTTGAGAGCATGGCCTAAGACCTGTTCATCTTTCAGCCCAGGGTCAGCAGGGTGCCTGCTCCCATAGTGAGAATGCAGTAAAAACTGGCTACATTAAAAGGCAGGTGAACGGAACAACGCCGTAATGAAGAAATGGATACGGAGACAGGAGATTTGAAATTTCATTTTAAAATAACCAAGTCTTCATTTCTAATAACGTTAATTAAACTGCTCAACACCCCTGGGTCTCCAGCTATATATTCTTCAGTTGGAATCCTTCTTTCGTAACGGTTTCCTCTGCCAAGGCTGATGTGTTCAACAGAATGTCTTGGGACAAGTGACAAAAGGCACTATATTGGCTTGGAACCATGGAAGGAATTGAAGGCCTACTTCCTAAACATTCATTCCTGGCAACGCAAAAGTCCCTGTACTGTGCTTCCAAAGGAAATGGAGGAAAGTGTGTGGCACAGGAATGTACATTATTAAGGAGTGAAAGGAAAAGATTCCCATGACAGGGAACAGAGAGGTAGGGACTTGATATGGGGTCGAAAAGACTTACTTAACAGGAGCTAGCAAGTGACTCATGGGGAGGCCCAACCCTCACTCAGAATCCTGTGCAGCTGACAGGTGGTTATTACTGCCATGCCCTCAGGCTTCCCTCAAAGAGACAGGGCTCCGTGGCCTGGCAATACCTACAGAGAGCTGAACAGGGCACAAGATGGAGACCGTGGCTGCCCTCAAAATCTCACATCTCCAGGCCTCTTACAAGAGACAGATCTCAATCACGAAGCATAAAGGGAACTATATCCAAGAAGAGTGAAATGGACTGGCTGGGCGCTGTGGCTCATGCCTGTAATCCCAGCACTTTGGGAGGCTAGGGCAAGTGGATCACCTGAGGTTAGGAGTTCAAGACCAGCCTGGCCAACATGCTGAAACCCCATGTCTACTAAAAATACAAAAATTAGCTGGGCGTCGTGGCAGACGCCTGCCATCCCAGCTACTAGGGAGGCTGAGGCAGGAGAATCGCTGGAACCTGGGAGGTGGAGGTTGTAGTGAGCTGAGATGACATCACTGCATTCTAGCCTGCGGGACAAGAGCAAAACTCCATCTCAAAAATAAAATAAAATAAAAGAGTGAAATGGACTGTTTCTAGAGTCAGAGGCTGAGACTCCATAAACACAAATTCCTGTCCCAATGACAGCCTCATAATCACTAATGAGCAGTGTTTCTGTTGCTGAAAACACACATTCCTTGCTTGTGTTACCTGAGAAAGATGGGGAGCCCCAGAATAATGGATGCTTCTTGGTCTCTTTTACATTAAGCTTGTACCAAAATGCAGAGTTATAGACAACTGAATGTAAGAATCAGAAGAGATCTTTGAGATCAGGGCACCTAGTAGTTTTCACTTTGTTCAAACAAAAGCTTACAAAAGCATAAATATAGGAGAGGAAACTGAGACTGCTCCCATTGGAGTGTAGGGGCCAGGAACCCCAGTTGTTGGTGCAAGGACAACCTCTGAGATGGCTTGATGGAGGCTTGGGAATTTGGTTGGAAAATCACGCATTTAGTCCAAACCTGCATTTTGCAGATATGAAAACTATGGTTCAGAGGGCCAAGGCAACTCATCCAAGGTAACTCATCCAAGGTCACACAGTCAGAAGGCAGAAGGACCAAGAACAGAACTCAGGTTCCTGGCTGCCAGTCGAAATGCCCTTTCTTCTACATGTTGAATGCCACCCATTTCCTAGGAATGGACCTCCATACTTTCCCTGCCTCGGTCCCCATTAGCAAGTTCCAGGCCACTCTAGGGCTTAGGCTATGGTAAACAGTAACTGAGTAACAATACGTCTTACGGATGCATTCATCACACATCACAGGGAAAGCTCTGCTATGACCACCAATCCCCACCCCAGCTCACCCCTGAAACGGTCAAATAATCAGAGGCTTGCGATGACCTGCAACTTTCTCAGGATCCCCTTTCCACCCCCTTTCCTCTTCTGTTGCATTTCTTACAGCACTGAATTAAAGGACTGCCTGCAATGCTGTAATTCTTCCATTTGCTGGGTTCGCCCCTACACAGTATTTGTGTTTGGTTTTGAAATGCTGTTTGCTCCACTTTTAATTTCCTTTTAGAGAGCTGCAAGAGAGAAGCCAACATTTAATCGTAGGGACTGGAGGGGACTTTACAAACCGCTTACAAGGCAAAAATAGAGTAGTTATTTTCCTATTTCCCTTCTGATTGAATTGGCTGCTGTATCATATGCAGTAAACAATGTGAACCCGAAAGCATTTTTACATCCTTATCTCACCCTTTCATATAATCAAAAGAAAAAAGGCACTGTAATTAAAAAAAAAAAGTGCAGGGCAGGGTCAGGGTGGGAGACTAGAACTTTGTATTTATTTAAAAGTTAATTAAACTTGAAAGGTTTGTGGAGACAATTCATTTTCTTTTGTAGCCTGAGACCATAAGTTTTGCATTCCATTTTGCCAATAGAATAATAAAAAGTAACCTGATGTTATTTTCATCCTAATAATAAATAATATATAATAAAACTAGAATAAAGAGTTTCTTTTTAAATAGAAAAGTAAAAATGAAAATACATGAGTCATACGAGTCTGAATTGACTTATCAAAAAACTACATAAATCATTTTAAGGTATGACCTATGTAATTGCTTTACTTTCACTCTTTTCTGGAAAGATGACTTTGCAGTAAGCACACAGGCTTGACTTTGCAGGCATCCTAGTTAATCCTCTGAATTGACAAATTTTAAATAGATGGGGTATGCTCTTTACAAAGAAAGTTGAACATACAACTAATAAGAACAGGAAGGACCCCCAAAGCTTTTGGGTAACTCAGATGTGGAGTCGGATAACGTACCCTCCTTGTCAGTTCCTGGTCATAAGCATCTATGGACAATGCTGAGTAGTCTTCGCAGGTGAGGAGAAGCAGGAATCCTAGACGAGTCATATTGAAGATGAACGCATGGCTGGTGTTAGATTACCCAAACCAGACACAACAAATGGAGCCAAGAGTGGGCTGTACACAGATTGCCTCCCTACAGAGGATGTTGTATGTATGTGTGTGCATGCATGTATGTGCATGCATGTGTGTAAGATAAAACATTTCAGAGAAATAAGAGTTACTGATGAGAGAGAACAAGAATTGTTAAATAAGGTAAGCAGTTCCTCCTCTTGGAAAATGTGGACTTACTGGAAAAAAAGATTTCCAAGGCTCCAGTTCTACAATTCTTTGATTCTACAAGGTAGAAAGTGAATCTTCCAACAGCACATTGAGACCCCAAAATCCTGATGGTGAAGCCCACATTGGTCACCTGTTTCCTTCTGACAGTGGTTACTCTTTAATGGAAACCACTTGCCAGAATATGAAACTTCCTAATCCCTGTGTGTCTCCCCTCCATGAGCACCCTGGGGACATGGCCTGTGTTTCATTCATCTTTGGGATCCCAGCACAGTACCTGAAGCATACAGTGGGCACCCCAAATTGTGGAAAGGCAGGATAGAAGGCTAGTACTTAAATTTTATTCAAAATATTGAATACTTACATATTGGATAATGTTAGTCAAACTCCTTGGCACCTATGTGTTACATGAATATGTTCTTCAATTAAAATATTTCTTTTCTAGTAGCCATTATGCCAAGCCTCCCTATGCACAGGACAAAGGAAATATTCCCTAGGAGAAATCAGCCCGTACCTCCTGCTCTATCACTCAGATTCTTAAGAGTATAAAAGTGATCATAGAAAAACAGCATAAATCACACTTGCCATCTCACTGATCAGGAATGTCAGACAGAACAAGACAAGGATGTTGCTCTCAGCACTATGTGCTGTCTTTTCTAGCAAAGGCAATTAGGCAAGGAAAAGAAATAAAAGGCATTCAGATTGGAAGAAAGAAGTAATACTACCTCCATTTGGAGATGACATGATCTTGTATGTAGAAAACCCTAATAAATTCACCAGCAAACTGTTAGAGTTAATTGACAAGTTCAGCAAGATTTCAGGATACAAGATCGAAACACAAGAATTAACTGTATTCCTATGCACTACCAATGAACAACCCCAAAATGAAACTGACAATGTCATTACACTGCATCAGAAAAGATAAAGCAGGAATCAATTTAACGAGAGAAGTGCATAACTTGTAAGCAGAAAATTATAAAACATCATTGAAAGGAATGAAAGAAGACCTAAATAACCGGAAAAGCATCCGGTTTTCATGACTGGAAGACTTACATTGTTAAGATGGCAATACTCTTCACATTGATTTACAAAATCAGTGCAACCTCTAGCACAATTCCAGCTGGCCTTTTTGGTAGAAATTAACAAGCTCATCCATGGAAATGGAAGGGACCCAGAATAGCCAAAATAACACCGAACAAGAAGAAAAAAGCTGGAAGACTTATACTTCTCAATTTCAAAACTCTCACAAAGCAACAATAATCAATATTTTGTGGTACTGCCAACAAGGACAGATGCACAAATCAATGGAATAGAATTGAGAATCTAGAAATAAAGCCATGTATTTATGGTCAGTTGACTTTTGACAAGGTTGCCAAAACAATTCAATGGCAGAAAGAACACTCTTGGCAACAAACAGTGCTGGGACAACTGGGAAGCCACATGCAACAGAATAAATGTGGACTCCTAACTCATACTCTATACAGAATTGACTAAAAATAGATCAAATATCTACATGGAAGAGCTGAAATTATAAAATTCTTAGAAGAAACCTATGTGACCTTGGATTAAGCAATGGTTTCTTACATGTGATGCCAAAAGCACAAGCGAAAAAAAGAAAAAAAATAGATAAATAGGACTTCATCGAAACTAAAAACTTTTTTTTTTTTTTAAATAGGGTATCACTCTGTCACTCAGGCTGGAGTGCCATAGTGCAATCATGGCTCACTGCAGTCTCAAACTTCTGGGCTCAAGAGATTCTCCAGCCTCAGCCACCTGGGTAGCTGGAACTGCAGGTGCACGCCACGATGCCCAGCTAATTTTATTTTTTCTTTTTTGTAGAGACAGAATCTGCTGCATTGCCCAAGCTGGTCTTGAATTTCTAATCTCAAGTGATCCTGCCACCTCGGCTTACTCAGGTTACAGGTGTGAGCCACTGCACTGGTCAAAATTAAAACCTTTCGTGTTTCATGTTTCAAAAGATACTACTAAGAGAATGAAAAGACAGCTTACAGAATGCAATAAAATATTTGCAAATCTTATATCCAATAAGGGTCTACTATCCAGAATACGTAAAAACAAGATAATAACTCTAGAATAAAAAGACAAAAAAATCTTAAAATGGCAAAGTATTTAAACAGATATTTCTCCAAAGAAGATATACAAATGGCCAGTAAGCATATCAAAAAATTCCCAACAACATTAGTTATTAGGAAAATGCAAATTAAAACCACAAAGAAATATTACTTCACACCTACCAGAATGACTATGGCAAAAAGATTGACAAAAAAATCATCAGCAAGAATATGGAAAAATTGGAACCCTCATACATTGCTTGTGGGAATGTAAAATGGCACAGCTGCTTTGGAAACAGTCTGGCAACTTCTGAAAGGTTAAACATACAGTTACCATATGATCCAACAATTATACTCCTAATTGTATATGCAAGAGAACTGAAAACATTCCACACAAACACTTATACATGAATGCTTACAGAAGCATTATTTGTAATAGTCAAAAGTGAAAACCACCCAAATGTCCATCAACTGATAAATGGATAAACAAAATGTGGTGTATTCGTACAACGGAATATTATTCAGCCATCAAAAGAATGAAGTACTGGCTTATGTTATAACCTTGAAACCATTATGAACCTCAAACCTTGAAAGCATATGCCAAGTGAAAGAAACCAGACACAAGAGACCACATATTGTAGGATTCTATCTATATGAAATGTCCAGAGCAGGCAAAGGCAAATCCATCAAGACAGAAAGTGGAGTAGTGGTTGCCAGGGAATGGGGGGAGGTGGGAACAGGAAGCAATTGTTAATGGGTATGAGATTTCTTTTTGGAGTGATAAAACCCTCCTGGAATTAGGTAGTGATGATGGTTGCACAACTTTTTAAATATATCAGAAACCACTGAATCGTATACTTTAAAGAGGTACATTTTATGGTACGTGTATTATATCTCAATTAAATAATAACAGTGAGATACTTTCATATACTATTGATGAAAATGTTCAGTGATAGAACTTCTTGGAAGAGAGGTTTGAAAATGGGTATTATATTTGACCCAATAGTTCAAATTTAAGAATTTAACCTCAGTAAATAATTAGGAATGTTACAACTTTAGCTGTAAACACGTTCTCTGCAATGTTGTTTATAGTATCAAAATATTGGAAATATCCTAAAGGTACAATGAAGACTTTGTTAAGCTATTTATGGTACATTCATTCAACAGAATACAATTCGGTCATTAAAATTATGTTTATGATATACTGTTAGCAAGACAAGGAATATAAAAGCACAATGTGCAGTATGATCCTATTTTGTTTTTTTTAACTATGTATCTATCTTACCTCCATATGTATGTATGTATGTACGAATGAAAGGTATCTATCATACCTCCATATTATAGAAATCATAAAACTATTCTGTCCAACACTAGCTGGTAGACACATGCGAATATTTAAATACAAATTAATTAGAATTCATCAAAATTAAAAAATTCAACTCTTCAGTTGCACTTTCCACATGTCAAGTGCTCAATAGCCTCCCAAGAACAGTGGCTACTGTATGGGGTGGCAGACAGCATTTCCATCAAGGCAGAAGCCTCCATTGAAACAAGCCAATAGAGAAGAATGGACACCAAATGGGCTTATGGGGGCTTCTCGTTTTCTTCTCTTTATGTTTATTTTCCCCTTTTTCCATAATAAACATAAATGTTTAGAATAAAAGAACATTGTTATTTTATTTTTTTAAAGAGTCAAGGTAAACTAAAACAGGGAAGAAGGGGACTCAAAAAGCACTCACAGGCATAGTCACCCACTTGGCATGCTGCAAATTGAGCAAGTCCCTTCAATCTGGACAGCAGTGGGGCTGGTGTTCATCATCTCCTTTGCCCAGGCAACACCTCTGCACCCACCGAGCTGTGGTTGGTGGGGAATAGGGAGTAGCCCCAGACAAGACCACAGACTCCCAGTGTCCTTACCTGAAGTTCAGCAATTTTCCACGAATAAATTCTTCTCAGGTTGTTGCATGCCTTTGATAGATTACCAGAGTGATAAAATGGCTGCTTCTGTTCATTTTGTCCAGATTTATAGTAGCTTTCAGGGAAAGAGAACTTGCTGACCTCCTCATTTGGCCATAGCCAGAAGTCCTGACTCCTAACATAGATTTAAAAAATAATAATCCTGGAAAGGCACATGGTTCACACCTGTAATCCCAGCACTTTGGGATGCTGAGGCGGGCGGATCATGAGGTCAGGAGATCGAGACCATCCTGGCCAACATGGTGAACCCCTATCTCTACTAAAAATACAAAAACTAGCTGGGTGTGGTGGGGCGTGCTTGTAATTCCAGCTACTCGGGAGGCTGAGGCAGAAGAATCACTTGAACCCAGGAGGCGGAGGTTGCAGTGAGCCAACACTGTGCCACTGTACTCCAGCCTAGTGACAGAGCGAGACTCCATCTCAAAATAATAATAATAATCCTAGTATTGTATGAGGCTTAGGAGAAAAGGCACTCTCAAATTCCCAGGTGATAAAATAAATTAGTTCATGCTTTCTGGAGGACAACATGGGAAATATATATCCAAAGCCTTAAAAATAATATAGCCCAAAGTGCTGGGATTAGGCGGGCAGATCACTTGAGGTCAGAAGTTCCAGACCAGCCTGGCCAACATGGTGAAACCCTGTCTCTACTAATAATACAAAAATTAGCAGGGCATGGTGGCACATGCCTGAAATCCCAGCTACACAGGAGGCTGAGGTAGGAGAATCGCTTAAACCCAGGAGCAGGAGGTTGCAGTGAGCCAAGATTGCACCACTGCACTTCAGTCTCGGCAACAGAGTGAGACTCCATCTCAAAAATAAATAATAATAATAATATATAGCCCTTTACTCACTTATGTCATTTCTAGAAACTTATTCTATTAAAATAATCATGGGTGTGCTCAGAGATTCAGCTACCAGAATGTATATGACAGAGCTGTTTATAATAGCAAAAAGCTGAATTCTAGCTGAAAGTATAGCAACAGATATACCTTCATGATTAAATACAAAATACATTAAAAATAATGTTGTTGGCCGGGCGCGGTGGCTCACGCCTGTAATCCCAGCACTTTGGGAGGCCGAGGCGGGTGGATCATGAGGTCAGGAGATCGAGACCATCCTGGCTAACGTGGTGAAACCCCATCTCTACTAAAAAATAGAAAAAATTAGCCGGGCGTGGTGGCAGGTGCCTGTAGTCCCAGCTATTCGGGAAGCTGAGCAGGAGAACGGTGTGAACCCAGGAGGCGGAGCTTACAGTGAGCCAAGTTCGTGCCACTGCACTCCAGCCTGGGCAACAGAGCGAGACTCCATCTCAAAAAAAATAATAATAATAATAATATTGTTCAGGGATATTTAATGACATAGAAAATGTTGATAAATGTTATGTTTTAAACATGAGTTGTAATGTGAAAGAGATTTCATTTTTGTAATATATATGTATATGTATAAATATATACATATATGTTTAGAATAAATTATAATGATTAAGATTAAAATGCAAACCGTGACTATTTCTGTGTGGTAGGAAAATATCTGGTTGGGGTGTGAACATGTTATTTTATACATCTTTTATAATGAATATATATCATCTTTGTAATAAGAAAAAAGTTATTGTTTTTAAAAAGTTGAAATCATATTAAGACAGGAAATCTTTGAACTTATAACTTGAAATAAAATTATCACTACAACTGTAGCTCCGGGCTTCCTGGGTGCCAAGGCAAAAAGAGAAATATAAAACAGAGGTGTCCCCTGTTTGACCTACTGGCTCTTCCCAAGAGACAAACTACAATCCCAGCTCCAAATTCTAGGAGAAATGTATAATGCACATTTCTCAGTAACACTAATACCACCTCTGTGGTGCTGGCACAGCAGTGGGTTACTTGCAGCCCTCATCTTTGTTCTAACTTTCCTGTAGTTGCCTAAAAACTGTGGTTCCCATACCTTACTAAAAGACAAATAAAACACACCGTGCCTATTTTTTCGGTAATGTACTTCATTTTCTGTTTTTCACCCTAGTGAAATAGTCCCAAAATGCAGGAGATGTTTTCAACACGATACCAATGATGTAATATCTGGCTTCTGTGCAGTATTTTGATGGTGACGTGGTTTCACAATGAGCAAGAATGCTCAGAAGACTGTCTCCAGGGTGAAATGGATCATGAAGAGCAGTAGATGTAGCATACTTTGAGAATTACATTTCTTAGTAATACAGCTGGTTAAGGGCCCCCGAGAAGAAAAGGTGGACAAAACTAGGCCAGTAACTATCGGTGATTGCTCCAAAACTTGACAGAAGTCACAAAAAGGCAGGTCTTAAATCTACCAGCCTTGAACTGACCCCTTGCAAGCTGAACCTCACTCACCATGACAAGAAATAGAGTCCAGAGCAACATACAAACTACGCTTGTCAGAGTCACAGCCCCTGAAGACTCTGACCTGGGGGCAAGGGGAATATGGGGAGTTGAGTCTAGTACCTTCTGTGTACTTTGCCTATCCTCTGCTATAGAAACAATTCAAATTAGATTTCCCCTTTGTATCTAGCCTACAGATTCTCTTAGCTACTGTGAATCCAAGTCACTCCTAGAGAGAGCCAAGGTGTTGGGAGACTGCTAACATAGCTTTTTCCTCCCTCTGAATCCTCCCCATCCCCAAATACCTTACACTCCATACATATCTGATGCTTACCTTCAAGGCCCCAATCAAGTCTTTCCTGACCACCTGTTTGATCTTTCTTTCATCTGTGACCTCTAAGAGCACTTACTCACAACATAACTTTTTGACACTCACCTTGCATGTCATGTGTCCCCAAACAAGCCATAAGCTCTGAAATCCTGGGCATGTTACCTAGCACCGGCTCTAGTATCTAGCGCATAAAACTGGCCAGGGTAGTGAAGAAGCTGGAAACACTGCTGGAGGAATCAGCTTTACACCAGACACAAGAGCACTCTGAGGTACTAAGGGACCTGTTTTGAAACCTTCCAAAGCTTGTCCACTGGAAGATGGACTGAACGAGTGTTTTTCATACTGTAAGAAGCAACACATTGGTGCATCATGTAATTGATTTAGAGGTACAAGACTTATTGTAAGAGTAACTACTGTTTCATAAAGTGTCACGTGTATGAGAGCATGTGTGTGTGTGTGTGCATGTGCATGCACACATGCTCATATACTGAGTCATGCAAACTAATTTCAAAACAATTTGCAAGGTAGTGAGTTACACAAACTGGTAGATTAGAGAAGGGTACATTTCAATGATGAGAGAGTCATTGAAAGTGAAATGAGAAGAACTCTTAAGTTTTCTCCCCATTCTAAGAGACTATCAGTTTAGATCACAGGCACTGTGTACCACTGAAGGCACATTAGGAGAGAACTGATTCTATAGGGTGGACATAAACAGGCTGAGACTTCATTTGGCCATTTACATTGGAATAACACCTCTGTGAAAGGCAAGGTTGAAAGTGATACTTAGACCAGGAGCTTTCAATGCAGATGAATATCAGACTCACCTGGGGAGCTTATAAACGATATCCATACCTAATCCTGACGTATATTAATTGAAACACTGGGGCCCAAAATCTGTGTTTCCTTTTCATGCTTCCCAAGTAAGGGCTGAGAACCACTGATTTATACATATGAAATGTGTAAATTATATTTGATAAAGCATAAGTGGAAGGGAAACGACACCAGTATTTTACAAGAAGATCACCAAAAGAAAGAGCTTGAAAACATGAAATCAGGGCTTTTGATTTCTGCTCAGGATGTAGAGAACTGAAAAGAACATTATTACCATGCTTACAAAAAATAAAAAGCCAGGTAAAGCACAAGATCATAACCTTCTCAAATCCATGAGAAAACTGAGGCAAAGGAGAACAAACTAGCCCAAAATCTAGAGAGGCACTTGCAGGAAGAGACAAGACATGAGCACTTGTCTACTTGAGGCAGATGTACCTGGACACTGACTAACAAGCATCGGGTCACAAATAACAATGGACTACCACTGGGAGAGTTGAAAGAGCATGGAGACAGACCACTCTGGGGCCCAGTACCACAGGAAGACCAAAAGATGGGAATGGCAAAGGCCTTTGGCAAGCCAGCTCCAACCCTAAATACAAGGCATCACTAGAGGAATTTGAAGTCTGGGGGTACACTGAGAATAACCAGAGGAATGAGAACCCTCAAACCCAGTTCATCTTCTGACTAGATTGATCAATCTTCACACTAAAGGCCTGGTAAAAAGAGAACGGCGTGCCCATTCCCATGCATAAAGCCTATCTCCATATCTAATGTCCTATATAAGATGTCTAGTTATCAACAAAAAAAAATTATAGGGCATGAGAAAAGCAAGAAAAGATCATACTGCGAAAAGACATTGCAATGAATAGAACCAGACCTAGATGCTGAAGCTATCAGACAAAGAATTTTAAATAACCAAAATTAATTATAAAAGTCCGTAGTGGAAAGGGTAGACAATCTGAAAGATTAAATGGAAAATGTTATCAGAGAGAAAAACTGCAGGAAAGAATCAAATGGAAATATTTGAAAGGCTAAAGACAGTAACAAATAAAGGATGCTTTCAACAGGCATTCTTCAGTGGACTTGATACAGCAAAGGAAAAAATCATTGAACTTGAAAATAGATCAGTAGAAATTACCCAAACTAAATAAGAAGAGAAAAAACATGAATAAAACAAGCAAAAAACGAATGGAGTGCCCAAGAGCTGTGGGACTGTATCATAAATTCAAACCTAGGTGTAACTGAAATTTCAGGAGAAAAGAAAGAAAATAGGCAGAAGAAATATTTGAAAAAATAATTGCTGAGAATTTTCCAAAATTAATGACAGATACCAAATCACAGATCCAAGGAGCTCAAGAACATCAGGTATGATAAATATCAAGAGTGTGCACGCATGCATACATGTACACACACACACACACACTCCCAGGCATATCATATTCAAAGAGCTGAAAACCAAAGACAAAAATAAAATCTTGAAAGCAGCAAAAGAAAAATGAAACATCAAATGAAAAGGAACAAAGATAGGAATTACAGAAGACTTCTTGTCAGAGGCATACAAGAAGAGAATGAAGCAACATTTTTAAAGTCCTGAATTTTTTTTTTAAATTGTCAACCCATTGCTTCTCAGCCTTTTAGCTAAGATCAAGCGTAAAAACTGTCAACCCAGAATTTTATACCCAGTAAAATATCTCCCAAAGATGCAGGAAAAATAGAAATCAAAGAGAAACAAAAACTTAGAATTCATTGCCAGGAGACCTACACTACAACAAATGTTAAATTAAGTTATCCAGGCGTTGCCAGACCAAAACTTGGATCTACACAAAGAAAACAATGATGGAAATGATATAAATGAAAATCAAACAAAATTATTTTTTCTCTTAATTTTAATTGCTATAAAAGATAACTGAATGTCTAAAGCAGGAGTAAGCAAACTATAACCTACAAGCCAAACCTAGCCCCTGGTCTGTTTTAGCATAACCAATGAACTAAGAATGTTTTTTGAAATACATTTGTAAAGAATTGTTTAAGAATAAAAGTATATGCAACAGAGACCATCTATGGCCTCAAAGCCTAAAATAATTACTTTCTGGCTTTTTTACAGAAAAAGTTTGTTGACCCCTGGTCTAAAGCAAAAAATCTTTTATTTATAGCTGATATTAAAAAATGATAATAACAATAGCACAAAACATAAAAGAGAAGTACTGTAAATATACTGCTATAAGACTACAAATGAAACAGTATAATACTACTTGAAAGTAGACTCTAATTAATTAAAGATACATATTATTAACTCTAGAGCAATCACTAAAAAAATGTAAAGAGGCATAGGTAAGAAGTCCATAGTGGAGATAAGGAAAATATAAAAAAATGCTCAAGACCAGGAGGTCGAGGGTACAGTAAGCCAAGATTGCGCCACTGTACTCTGGCCTGGGTGACAGAGCGGGACCCCATCTCAAAAAACAAAATAAACAACAACAACAACAAAAAAAGCTCAAGAAACAAGAAAAAAAAAGAACAGATAGAACAAATAGAAAACAACTAGCAAGATGGTAGATTATAATTAAGCCATATCAATAGCATAGCAAGTGTAAATGGTCTAACATACCAGTTAACAGACAGATATTGTCAGATTAGTTGAAAAAATAAGACTCAAGTATATGTTGCCACAAGAAAGCCACCTTAAGTATACAGGTTATTTTATAACCTAAATATAGGTTAAAAGTAAAAGAACACAAAAAGATATACAATGCAAACATTAATCCAAAAAAAGCTGGAGTATCTGTATTATTAACACCCAAAGCAGACTACAGAAAAAGGAATATTAACAGAAATACAGAGGGACATCACATAATAAGAAAGGGATCAAGATGTTCTCCAAGAGGACATCACAACCCTAAATGTGTATGCACTTAACAACATAGAGTCAAAATACATGAAGTAAGAAGTGATATGAGTAAAAAGAAAAATAGATACATCCACAATTGTAACTGGAAATGCTAACATTCCTCTCTTGGTTATAGAGAAAACAAGCAGAAAATTAATAAGAACACAGAAGACCTGAACAACCCTATCAAGCAACTTGACCTAATTGATATTTCTGGAACATCCCACCCATCAATAGCAGAATACACATATTTTCAAGTGTGCATTGAAATTCACCAAGATAAACCACATTCTGGGTCATAAAACAAATATGAACAAATCTAAAAGAACAGAAATCATGCAAGTCATATTCTAGGATAATAAAAGATTTAAACTAGAAATCAATAACAGAAAAACTTCTAGAAAATCCCCAAATATCTTAAAATTAAATGATATACTTTAAAATAACATACGGGTCAATAAGTAGTCTCAAAAGAAATGTTAAAATATTTAAACTAAGTGAAAATTCAAATATACATTTCAAAATTGTATAATGCAGCTAAAGCAAGGCCTAGAGGGAAATGTATAGCATTAAATACTTCTATTAAAACAAAAATCAGTAATATAAGCTTATCCCTTAAAAAATAGAAGAGTACATTAAACCTAAGCAAAGACAAGGAAGGCAATAATAAAATAAGAGCAGAAATCAATTAAATTGAAAACAGAAAAATAATAGACAAAATTAAACCAAAATCTGGATCTTTGAAGAGATCAGTAAAATTGATAAACCTCTAGACAGACTGAGCAAGAAAAAGACTGAAGACATAAGTTAATAATGTCAAGAATAAAAGAGGGAGTATTATTACTGACCATTCAGACATAAATGGCTAATAAAAGAACACCACAAAAAATTCTGTATCAATGAATTTGACAACTTAGGTGAAGTGGACTGAATCTTTGAAAGATAGAAACTAACAAAACTTATCAAGAAGAAATAGATAATCTGAATAGTCCTATATCTATTTATAAAATTAAATTTGTGTTAAAAACCTTCCAACAAAGAAAACTCTAGGACCAAATGGTTTCACTAGAGAATTCTACCAAACACTGAAGGAATAAATAATACCAATCTACCTAGTCCCCTCCAAAAATACATTACAACCAAGTGGAATTTATCCAGAGAATGTAAGTCTGGTTCAACATTTGAAAATCAATCAGTGCAATTCACCATATTAAATATTAAGAAAACTCATATGGTTCTGTCAGTTGATGGTAAAAAAAGCATTCAATAAAATTCAAAATCCACCCATAATTTTAAAAAACACTGTCAATAAACTAGGAGTACAAAGGAAATTTCTTAACATCATATTGTATCTACAAGAAACCTCAACTAACATCATACTTAACAGTGAAAGATTTATTGCTGCCTGCTCCATGATAAGAAACAAAGTAAGGATGTTCTCTCTTATCACTGCTATTCAACATTGTACTGCAATTCTTAGCCAGTGCAATAAGTTGGAGGAAGAGAAGGAGGGAGGGAGGAAAGAAAGACACGGCATTTAGGTTAGAAAGGAAAAATAAAACTGTCTCTATTCACAGATAATATGATTGTCTATGTAGAAAATTCCAAAGAATCTACAAAGGACCCACCTAAAACAGATGAGTAACTTTAGCAAGGCCACAGAATACAATACCAACACACAAAAATAAATTCTATTTCTATATACCAGCAACAACAGCAATCCCCAAAATGAAATACCTAAGTATAAATCTAACAAAATATGTGCAAGATCTATATCCTGAAAACTACAGAGTGCTGATGGAAGAAATCAAAGACTTAAATAAATGGATGGTTATACCCTGCTCATGAACTAGAAAACTCAATAATGTAAAGATGTCAATTCTTCCTAAATTAATCTGTAGATTTAATACAATTCCATTCAAAATCCTAGGAGGATTTTTTTGTAGATATTGACAAACTAATTCTAGAATTCATATGGAAAGGCAAAAGAACTAAAAGAGTCATAGCAATTTTGAAAAAGAATAAAGTTGGAGGGCCTACACTATGTGCTTCCAAAATGTATTCTAAAGCCACAATAATCAAGATACTGTAGTGTTGGCATGAAGTAAGCATACAGATCAATGGAACTGAATTGAGAGTCTAGTAATAAACCCTTACATTTTAGCTAATTGATTAGTGACAAAAGCTCTAAGACAATTCAAGGGAAGAAAGGACAGTCATTTCAACAAATGGTGCTGGAACATTTGGACTCCCACATACCAAAAAGAAAATACCTTTGACTCATACTTTATCCCTTATACAAAAATTAAAGTAAAATGGATCATAGACCTAAGTGTAAAACATAAAACATGAAACTTCTAGAAGAAAATAGAAATGTTCAAGACTTTTTGGTTAGTTAGAGAATTCCTCAATACAACAATAAAAGTTGGATGTATTAAAAAATCGATAAACTGGTTTATCAAAATTAAAACTTTTGCTCTGAGAAGACATTGTTAAGGGAATAAAAATGACAAGGCAGTCGCTGGGAGAAGTAATTTACAAATTACATTTCTGACACAAGACTTATATCCAAATTATTGTACTGAACAACAAGAAAACTCAATAAAAGCAAGTAGTTAAAATTACCTCTGCAAAACACTTCAACACTTTAAAATTTTATTTGCGTTTCTGTTTTTTCCAGGCAGTAATGGGTCCAAACATAACCTCTCATCAATTTGTATCTGTAGCATATTATTTAACTTTGGAATTGGACTTTTGATCTGTTAACTTTTGGTGTACTTTATATTGACCCAAAAGAAGTTAGTTTTCTTTGAATTCAGGAGATAAATTTCATACAAGTCCTTAGTAAAGAGACCACTTTTTCTATCAAATAAAATTGATTCTTTAAACACCAAAAGAAAGTACAAGTTCCTGAGGCATCAAAATTTATTTTCTCTTCTTTTAAATAATGAACCCTGAGCATGAATCACCACATTTGTAACCACCGTATTTCTTCCTTTCCCTGCTACCAAAACTAAACAATTCTGGAACATAATGATGAAAGAAATGACCCTTATTTTCCCTTTGCTCATGTTTCTACATTTATTTCTCATGACCTGGTACCATGTTTTTGTAAGTCATTATAAATCATATTTAGGAACAATGTGAGTTATAACAAACAATCAAAGAAATTCTGCATGAAAGAAATCCTATAAAATTGAGTTATTTAACATTTAACTGTCTTTTTCCACATGAACACCTGTCCTTTTTGCCCAAAACCCTACCTGCTTAGACCATATAGCTCTGCTGGAAACAAGAGAGAATAAGCCATGATTTCCAGCACTATATCCAGTTTGTTTCTAATGACTGCACTCTTGTCTGGATCTATTTTATTTTTTATTTCTGTACTTCTCACCGCCTGACTTATTAGACAAAACATAAATAAATGTCTCCATCTAGTAGACTGTAAGCTCCAATCCCCAGCACCTAGAACAGTGTCTGGCACACAGTAGATGCTCAATAAATATTTGTGAAATAAATGACTGCCCAAGGCATTTCTCTCTACCTCATTCCCTCACATTCTTCCAGTGATCCTGGCCAGCCCATGGCAGTATTGTTGCTGAAAACAGGAAAATATGCTGCCCTCCACTTCTGCTTTCTTCCAGCATTAGTGATCATGTCTTTTTGCCAATTTCTTTGCTAACTAGATATTGAGGATAGAGGATCATGAGAAGCGGCATCCTTGGTTGCCCAATCTGATTCCAAAAGTCCAGCACCAATGTCCACCAATGTCTACCATATAAAGCAGAAACAAAGTGCAGCACTCACTTCACATTTCAGATGAAAATAGGATACATGATTTCAAAGCAGTTCATGGTAGAGGCTGGTTTCCTACTAAATGCAACTACCAAAGTTATCGCTCTTTGGACTTAGCATCAGGAGAATTGTTTACTAGTCCAGGATCTACCATTAATTGCATCTTCACCAAGTCCCAGCCTGTTAGTTTGAAGACAGTTAACAATACTGAAACAAAGTCATGATTTAGAGCAACTAAGTGTTCTCAAGAGAGGGACAGGGAGTTTCCGGGGAAGGTAGGCAGTGGGTGCCCAGCAAAATCATATGTGAGGCTTTTCAAACTACACAGGGTTTGAAACTCTTCTGAAACTCCTCCACCCCAATCCACCCCTTGAGAATTGCCACCATAGAGTGAGCCACTGTTGCTATTACTATTGGGAGTATGGAAAACTCAGAGAAGCTTTTCCAGGTTTCAGGTGTAAGCTTGTTGAGGAATTGGACCAAGATTTACTATGCTTCTTAGTGACATCCATGGAATCTAATACAGGGTAGTCCTGTCTTTACTTACTTTTCCAACCTCAGCTCCTTTCCTCCCCTCAGCCACACCCTAGGCATCTCCCATGGTATTGGACTTCTGATTACCAATCTGTGCCAGACCTTGCATCACCTGTCCCCACCTCTGGGAGACACAGTTTGTTGCCTACCTAACAGCCCAACAGGCAGTCTCACTTTCCTCCTTGCTAACAGAATTCTGATTGTGTTCAGACATGGAGCATGGATGCTCAGGTAGGTGAGCCCCTCCTACAGCTCCGGAAAATAGCTTGGGCAAAACAATCATGGGCCCCTCTTCTCCTTTGCCAATGACTGGTTTCAGGGTAAGCGTTAGACCACTTTGGCCAGTGACGCGGGGAACTTCGGGGAAAATTTGTCCTTTATTATCTAGAGAAAGATTAAGCAGCAAGCCCCGGCCTTCTTTTTTCTGCTTTGGATGTTGTCATGTGAAGGCATGATGGAGCTCTAGTCACCCTGGAAAAAGAAGATAATTTTCTAGAAGCCACCAAAGAGCTGTGGCCACTTCGAACGACCTACCTTCAGATGTTCTAAGCAAGAAAGTAGAGTAACCTAAACATATTACAACAAAAAGTGTCCCTCTGGAATCCTACCACATGGCCTAGAATTTTTCTCCTAGACCAGCCCTTCTCATTTTCTTTTTTTTTTTTTTTTTTTTGAGACGGAGTCTTGCTCTGCTGCCCAGGCTGGAGCTCATTTTCAATTCAAAGCTCAACTACAGTTTCTTTGGGGAGTCTTCACTACGTCCCCAGACAGATGAGTCCTAGACGATGTTATCCTCATATCTGTCTTTCCAACTAGACTGTGAGCTTCTCAAAAGCAAGCATTTTCGCCCTTGGCAGAGGCCCTGGCATATGTTGAGCATTTATTATATGTCGAATGAATGAATAAACAAAAAACAATGAATGAAAAGATGGACACACAGGATGCCCTCCATGCATTAGATGAAGACTTGACTGATGGAATACGGCCCTCAGGCTGTCTACATTCTACTGCAGACTACCTTTAGGCGCTGGTGAGCAAAGACAGAGATAGTAAAATGAACATGTCCTGTTTTGTCAGACTTCTCATTGGGAATTGCGCCCCCTACCGACATGCCTTGCAGCAGAGGTGGGCCAGTCTATCAATCACAGTCGGTCATGTGCCCATTCCTGTTGTGTAAACCTCTCCCTGTCTGCTGAGATGGCTTGGTTCTGTTTTGGTCCAGTATGTCAATAAGATTGCTATAAGGGGCCGGGTGCAGTGGCTCACTCCTATAATCCCAGCACTTTGGGAGGCCAAGACGGGCAGATCACTTGAGGTTAGGAGTTCGAGACCAGCCTGGCCAACATGGTGAAACCTCATCTCCACTAAAAATACAAAAATTAGTCCCACGTGGTGGCCGGCGCCTGTAACTCCAGCTACTTGGGAGGCTGAGGCAGGATAATCGCTTGGACCTGGGAGGTGGAGGTTGCATGCAGTGAGCCGAGATCACACCACTGCACTCCAGCCTGGGTGACAGAGTGAGAGTCTGTCTCAAAAGAAAAAAAAAAAAAGAGAGAGAGAGAGAGAGACAGAGAGAGACTGCTATACGGATAGAGAAGATGGGATTCTCTCTCTCCCTCTTTGTCTCTGTCTCTCTCTCTGAAGGAGCAGATAAGCCTGAAGGTGCAAGTCCTATTTATCGTCCATACTAAGAACCAGTAAACACAGAGAGAAAAACAGCTAAGATATACAAGAGAGAGAACTAGCCCTGGAACCTTGTATGAGCCTCTGGAACTAGCTATAGCTTTAAACTGAAACCCTCGACCTTTTCATTTATGTGACCCAATCAATTTCTACATAGTATAAGGCAATTTTCAAGTGACCAAAACCCAACCCAAAGAAAACAATTCTGACAAATACGATGGGTAATGATGAGGGCAGTCTGACAACACCCCCTCCATCTGCAGGGCCCGTGCACTGGCAGCCCTAATCTTGGCCTCTGTGATGCTGTCAGCAAGTAAGGCATCCTGGAGGAAGCCTAACCATGAACAAGTCAGGGTGGGAAAGAATGCCCCCACCCCACAACACACACATCACCACATCAACACAAAGGGGGAAAAATCAAGCAGTATGCTATGTACTCCATGAACATCATATAACCTAAGTCTGTTGTAATGATTATAATATTAATAATACCTATTTTACTTTAAGGGAACTGAGGCTCAGAGCAGTTCAGTAACTTGCCCAAGGTCACACAGCTAGTTACTGGAATTTAAATAGCATTCTAGACTTTTCCCACTCTCTGATCCCCTGGCCTTGGGAGGTGGACAGCACCCCTCCACCCACCAGCTCCCCCCAAACGCCACAGGGCATACAGACCTGAAGCCTCACAACCCAAGCCCCCTGGAGTCAGAGCAGCCTCCAGACCCGGCTTTTGAGAAGCCCCAGGTAACTAACCAATGTGTAAGGTAGGTTATTCAACAACAAAAGTAAAGAGCCGGGGCAAGGGAAGCGGCGGCACCCAAGCTGGTCGCGCGTGAAGCGCTGCAGGGGGAAACACTGGAGCTGGCACGCTCGCTCTTGGCCCCACGATCGGCCTTGAACCCCAGCCCCAGCTCCGCGCTCTCTCCAGCAGTTTGACCCCCAGTATCTCCTCTCCCCTCGGCTCTGCCGAAGTCACTGGCCCCGCAGGGCTCTGGACGATTAGAGACCCACACCGCTCCAGCCTTGCCCCGGCCCCCTGCTCCCGTCCCGTCCAGATGTTGGCAGCTGCTCGCCTCGAGGCAGCGACCAGACCCCGACCCCGCCACTGCGCCGCGGCCCCGCGGCCCCGCGGCCCCGCGGCCCCGCGAGCTCCTGGCTGCCCCAGCGCGCCCAGAAGGGGCGCAGCGCATCTCCCGCCGCAGTCGCGCGGCCCCGCACTCGCTCCGGCGCGGGGTGAGCCGTCCCGAACCCACCACCGCCCCCGCCTGCTGCGCTGGCCCAGCTCACCTCGCCGCCCGCGCCCACCGAGCCTCTCGGCGCCCTCACCCGGCTCCCGGCCCAGGCTCCCAGCGCACCCGCCTGGGGCCGGCGTTGGCTGCTACCGCGCGGGGCGGGGCGCGGCTCCTCCCTGCCCTGAACCACCTGGGGCGCGGGAGGGGGCCGGGCCGGGACAGGTGAGCCTCGCCCGCGAGGGAGCAGCCCCGGGCCCGGCTCCGCTGGGAAACCGCAGGGCTCCACCACGAGGTTGAAAGGAGGCCCAGGCGGGCGGCAGTGTGGTAGTGGCCAGCGCTGGGGAGGCGGCAAGGAGCCTGTTCCCACCCAGCCAGCCCGGCTCAGGAAGTGAAAGAAGCACGGGATTCGGACCCCACCCAGCTTAAAGAGGGGAGGGTCCAACCCCTTTCTTCCTAGAAAACCAATGTAGAAACGAGGAGTGCAGACCCTCGGGAGTGAAAATGATTGGGCCAAGGGTGCAGGTGAGTTAGTTCAGGATTGGAAGAACTCTGAAAGACCTTTTTTGACCATTCCATCCAACCCCGTCCCCACCTTGCCCACCCGTCAAGTGATTCCCTCCCCCTTTTTAAATAATGACATTAAGCTATAAATAAGATAATTTCATATAGTGACGTCCTCCCCACCCCTGGACGGTAAGCCCCAGGAGAGGCAGGAACCTTACCCGTCCACTACTGAATCACCAGAGCTTTGAAAACTCAGGGCATTTAATACCTGATGAACAGACTAGGTGGCGCCCAGTCTTTTGCGTCCAGCGTTAGACTGGTCCCCTCGGCCCAGAGCTGCTCCAGCATCATTCCAAGCTTACTAGGGAGAATCCAGAGGCAAGCTGTTAGATTCCGGGCCACCTGTCCTCTCTCTACTGCTTACTCCCCACCCACTGCCAGCCAGGCAGCTGGGATGTGGGAGGTCTACACTCCCAGGGCACCTTATAGTGGTCAAGCAAATCTTTAACTTCTGAAGATGCCACAGACAGGAGAACTCTGAAATAAAACACTGTCCGGCCAGCCTTGCACTGTGGAAACACAGCTCAGAGTATGGGCCACTGACCCAAGATTCCATGGCTGGTAGCAAAGCTGATCCTGGGTCTGCATTTCTAAAGACAGTTGGCTGGTCTGGGGCCTTTGAGGGGCTGCTGGTTATGCCTGCAGTGGGGAAACCTGGGTACAGAACTTCTGCAGAAGTGGGGTCTGGGTTTGGTCCTCTGCTGAGACTTCTAATCTGTCTTTCCAGACCTCTGAGGTCAAGCATCTCCTGAGCCAGCTTGCATTTATTGAGGCCCCTGACAACCGCAAAAACAAAAACAATGGTATTTTTAGGTGTTCCATTTAACAAATGGCCTTCACTCACACACACACACACACACACACACACACACACACACACACACGAGGTAATGTGTCATGCTGCTCCTCACATGTTAATTTCAAGACTCGTTAAAAAAATCCATTCCGTGAAAAAATTCATTTCACTGCAGAAAGCACTGTACAACTTTAAAGTTGTATGGAGAACATTCCTTCTTATGACTATTTCAGTACACTTCCGTGACTATATATTAAACCTCCAAGGCCAAAATGGGAGGATCTCTATTAAGGTGAGGTCAGGGCCAAGAAGACTGCTCCACCCCTCCACTGACAACAAGCCCAACACTCTTAAGGTCTAGACACCCCACCCCTTCAGTGGGTTCTGCACATATGGGTATTTCAGATCTGGTGTTACCTGGCTGGCTACGTCACACTGGGCAAGGCCAACCTAGAAAAGGTTATATGGGATGCCCCACCTAGGTGTGCCCTACCTCAGTTGCTACTCCCTCTATGGTGGCAGGGAATCTGGTGTCCCAGGGTGGAGCTGTGGTGGGGCCTGCACTTTGGGACAGCCACTTGCACCAGCAGGTAGGGCTGAGCAAAGGAGCACCTCTGGGTCTCACTCACATGAAATGGACCTAGACCTTTTTTTGTGTTGGTTTCAGTCAGTAGAGCATGTGATCCCCTGTGATTTAAAATCCTGCTGCTGTGCGTGTGATCTTGGCTGGGCCAGCCTGCTAAGTGATGCCACCCAGACAGGCCTGAGAATCATCAGGAGGGTACAGGTTCTGCCCCAGTGCTTGCTTGCTTGCACGTGATCTCTCCCTCCCCACCCCACTCTCTCTCCTGTGCTTGCTGAGCAGCCTTGGGCATGTTCCTCAATTGTGTGTTTTTCCTACTTGGAAAATGTGCAGCCATGAAATCAGACAAGATCTCTGTTTGAAGTTTTTTGCTTAAAAGGGGTATCTGAAATAAGAAGTTCTGATACTGTTGTGTGGCTAAGTTAAATAATCCACGTAAAGTGCTTGAGCACAGCGCCAGCACAAAGCACCTGCTCAGTGAACAGTAGCTCTGCCTAGCAGTGCAAAGAGAGCCAGCCCACTTCTGATCAACATTAAAATGCTGGAAATAGGGACAAAACCACTGATAGACTTCATAAGACTCTAGAATGAATTAATTAATCTTTACAAATAACTATTTATTGCTATTCTCTACTGGTCTCTAGGAGAATGATATTTGAACTAGAAAATCTTCAGTTTCTGCTCTATCTCTAGTTCTCTGATAATATAATGAAATATAAATTATCCAAAGAAGCAACAATCCAAAAAACTTCTGAGCCTTAGGATATATTTACCTTCCTAATTTTTCCTGTCTTTACTTAGGACTCAACATGTATATTAATAATGTATATCTAGCCGGGCGTGGTGACGGGCACCTGTAATCCCAGTTACTTGGGAGGCTGAGGCAGGAGAATTGCTTGAACCCAGGAGGCAGAGGTTGCAGTGAGCCGAGATCCTGCCATTGCACTCCAGCCTGGACCACAACAGTGAAACTCCATCTCAAAAAAAATAAAATAAAATAAAAAATACTGTATATCATTTTCTGAGGACATTTTTCAATGAGACAATGTGTGTAGCATTCCTGGCACATAGTAGTGTAGCAGGACGAGTCGCAGAGAAAACTCCTCAGACACCAGATTAAAGAAGGAAGAGTTTTTTTTATTTGGCCAGGAGCATCGGCAGACTCATGTCTTAAGAGCCGAGCTCCCCGAAAAAGAAATTCCTGGCCCTTTTAAGGGCTTACAACTCTAAGGGGTCTACATGAAAAAGTCATAATAGATCAAGTAAGCGTGAGGAACGTAACTGGGGGCTACATACATCAGCTAACAGAACAAAAAGTTTTACAGTGCTTTCTCATACAACATCTGGAATTTACAGATAACACCAGTAGTTTTGGTCAGGGGTTAATATTATTATTATTTTAACCACCAGGGCCAGGTGGTGGTGCCAAGGTCGTCTAGCTATTTATCTTACTTCTGTTTCTTTCCAACTTTTTGCTTTCTCCCTTTTCTCCTGTCTTATAAACTAGGGAAAAGGGGAGGTTGGGGAGAAACTGGGAAGGACAACAGGAGAAGTGGTGGCCTCATACCATAGTAGCTGCTTACTTAATTATGACTAATATAAGGAGGTATAGGGAAGTGGCCAGAAATATTAGGAGCAGAAAGTGCCATGAATTCAAGTAGGCAAAACTGATAACCACTTTATCAGGCAGCCCAGATTTTAAGTTCACACTGGCTCTGGAATCAGACTGTTTGAGTTCAAATTCAGCCACAACTTACAATGCATGTTAATCTCTCTATGCCTCAGTGTCCTCACCTATACAATGAGACAACAATATGAGAATTTCATAGAAAAGCTGAGACACAGAAATAGCATAATAACTGACCTTTAGTGAGCAGCTGCTTCATGCCTGGCTCAAGTGAATGCTTACATTCTCTTTCAAGGGTTAACCTTAAAGTAGGAATTCTTAATCAAAAGCCACAGACCCTGCAACTGAATTTGAAGTTCTGTGTCTGTATACGTTTTTACTAAACAGAACATCCACAGCTGTTGTAAGACTTGCAAAGCCATTTGGGTCTCAGGAATAGTTAGGAGTCACTGCCTTCCAGACATAGCCGGGACAGGAGTTTTGGAGTTGGAAGATCTGTTAGAGACTGTGCAGACCACCATTCCCAAACATCCTTGAAGGGGAGGATCACTTGGATGCCTGCTCATGACAGAGTTCACTCCTAAACATTCTCATTCGGGAGAGCAGAGTGGCTTTTGAATGAGCACTCCGGGGGCTACTCACCACAGGCAAGCCTGGGAAACTGATCCCACCCAACCTTCTCATTTCACGGGTCAGGAAACAGGCCCATCTCACAGGTCAGGAAACAGGCCCAGAGATAAGGACAGCTCGAAACAGTTCCCACCCCACGTCAGTCAAGGGCCTCCCTTACCTGTAAGTTAAGTCTTCACCCCGTCTGAACAAAGGAAGGGAAATGTCACTCCTTCCCACAACCCCAGTTCACACAAGGAGCACTCTGAAAACAAAATCGGGCTTCTCTTAGGAGGAGAGTAAGAAGTGCAGCTGGCCAGGCACAGTGGCTCACACCTGTAACCCCAGCACTTTGGGAGGCCAAGACGGGCAGATCACTTGAGGTCAGGGGTTTGAGACCAGCCTAGGCAACATGGCAAAAACCCTTCTCTACTAAAAATACAAAAATTAGCAGGGCATGGTGGCGGGTGCCCATAATCCCAGCTACTCAGGAGACTGAGGGAGGAGAAGCGCTTGAACCCGGGAGGCAGAGGTTGCAGTGAGTTGAGATCGCACCACTGCACTCCAGCCTGGGCAACAGAGCGAGACTCCATTCCCACCCCCGACCCGACCCCCACAAAAAAAAAAAAACAGTGCAGCCACCTCTGTGTTAGCTGCTTAAATCTTAAGGAAGCCTAGACCCCTGTTGACACAGGATTGCAGATACCTCACTCCAGCCAGCGGGCGGGGGTGTGTCCTCCTACACACACACACACACACATACACACACACACCCTCTCACATTTCTCATTGTATGCAGCATTACTATTTGAACAGCTGACGCTATTCAGCGATCACGTTCAGGTAACAGCCTGCAAAAATGTAAATGTGTTGTCCCACTTCCTAAAGCCACACACTAATTAGACACTAACCAGGGGACTTGACAGGGAATTTCAGTGGTGCCATTTAGTTGTGTGAGCCCCATAGTGGGAAATACTTCTTTCCACGCAGATCTCAGCAGGAACTGAATCTGAAGCAAGAACAGGGCAGGCAGCTGCCTCAGCAAGAGTGGTTATCAAAGTTATGCTTCAAAAATGTCCATGTTAAATGTGACACCCAAAAATGTCAGCTCCAGAATAATCAGGCAAAATTCAGAATCATCTGTTATTGACCAGTGAAATTCTCTCCAGGCTTACCAAGGGCAGGCAAGGATGTGCGTGTTTCTTTGGGTTTTTGATGTTCACCGGTCGCAGAGTCCTGATGTAGTAAAAAGTTGAAATAACCTCCCCAAAGTGAGTTGGGCATACCCCTCACGTACGAGGCCAGCAAGCAGTTTTTCCAAGGTGGCAGGTAGCAGCAGCTCCATTTCACTGAGAAGACAATTCTAAAAAGATACAGGTGGCCTGCTCAGACCTGTGCTTGACCCTGAGTTTGGGCAGCAAATCAGCTTTTCCATATTTACCCCTCTATTATTTTTTATACTCTTGGGGCCTGTGGATCCACGTGAATTTGCTTGGCTGTTTAAAACACATCAGCCAGGATGAAATTGTCCTCTTTTACCTGGGTTTCAGAGCAGGCACTGAAGCGCGGGCTACAGATGTGTGGGTCTGCTCACAACATTGCTGGCCACAAAAATGCGCAAATGCCTTTGGCATTGTATTTCCAGGAAAGAAGAAGTTGATTATTCCAATTTGCTTCTTACTTCTGAAAGCAACACAAACATACTCATTGTCTTTTTTTTTTTTTTTTTTTTTTTGAGAAAGAGTCTCACTCTGGTGCCCAGGCTGGAATGCTACAGCGCGATCTCAGCTCACTGCAAACTCCGCCTCCAGGGTTCAAGCGATTCTCCTGCCTCAATCTCCCGAGTAGCTGGGATTACAGGCATGTGCCACCACATCCAACTAATTTTTTTTTGTATTTTCAGTAGAGACGAAGTTTCACCACGTTGGCCAGGCTGGTCTCGAACTCCTGACTTCAAGTGATCCTACCACCTTGGCCTCCCAAAGTGCTGTCATTATAGGCGTGAGCCACCGCACCTGGCCCTCATTGTCCTTTTGATAGGTAAATGAGGGAAAGAAATGCCAGTGTGGAGAATGTTATCTGTGTAAAATCAGAGTTCTATTACCACTAACACACCAAGCACAATCCTTCCTGAGGAACTTTGCAGTTGCTGTTCATCTGTTTGCAACTGTCTCCCAGTCTCTGCATGGCTGGCTCCCTCACTCACTAAGGCCTTCCCTGACCACCCAGTCAAAACTAGACTGGAGTTACTTGCCATCACAGCACCCTGGTTTATTCTTTTCACAGCACTTGAATATACGAAGTCATTTTAGAAAGTGTTGTTCATTTGTTTATAATTTGCCTCTAAGGAAATGAAGACTCTGTCTTGTCTTATTCACATCTCTCTCCAGCTCTGAAAACAATCTTTGGTATAAGATAGGTGCTCAAATATTTATTGAAATAATGAATGAACACTAACGTTTTTACAGAAGGCTTTTTCAGTTCATCACATGAAAATTTCAGCTGCTTCCATACGAAGCAGCTTAGATCTGGGAGGAAACTCAGCTCAGGAAGTGAGGCAGGATGTGAACCCAGTCCCTCTGCACTCCTCAGCAGCCATGTGACCCCAGGAGAGCTCAGCCTCTTGGTTAAGAATGTGGACTCTGGAGCCAGCTCCACCACTACCTTGCTTTGTGATGTTGGGCAACTCATTTAACATCTCCACACCTCAGTTTTTTCATCTGTATTTGGGGTGAATAACAGTGCCACCCTCACTCATTCCTTGTAAGAGATTCCAGAATGCATGTGAAGGACTAGCTATTCCAGAATGCACTGTGAGCCAGGCACGACACTAAGAGAGGTTAGGTTACTTGTTTGAGGCACTTAGTGGATAAGGAAAGAGTTGGAACCACTGGAACTCCAGTCTACACTGCTGAAGTTCACTCTTGATCACAGGGCTCCTGCCACACAGTACTCACTCAACAGATGACTGTGGCAAAACATTTCCACACAACTAATGTCAATATTTGGGCTAATGGAGTCAGGAAGGTGCATTGCCAGTGCCATTCTTGTGACTAGCTTTGGTCTTTGCCTGCTGAGGGTTGATGCAGCAGAGTGAGCCCTGAGGAAGCGGGTGGCGCGCCGGGCTTGGGCTCTCTCCTGATGGTGTGCATGGTGCAAGGTGAGTCATTTGACTTCACTGGGTGGAACTAGATGATTCCCAATGTCCCTCATAGTCTTCTCTTCTAAGTCCTGGTGATGTACTCTTTATTTCTTTAAGAACTCTCCAATTTATTTGTTCAATATATGAAAGGGAAAGCTATTTGCAAAGCACTATTTGTTGACAACAACTCACAGGGAAGATTGGGAGCGGGGTTCTACAGCAGCTTCCAATCCGTACCACTGAGATGGACAAGCAGAGGACTGTAAGAGACGGAACCTGAGCTCTGCAGTCAAAACGAACAAAGTAGTCTTGAACATGTGACTTCAACTCTTTGGATTTTGATGTTCTCATGGGTTTATGACAGTCTGGAGACAAAACTTTTTAAAGCAGAGGCCCTGATCATAGTCATCTGGTATTTAGGAGCAGCAGGCCCACATGTGGACAGAGTCAGCTTGCACTGAACAGTGGGTTCCTGCCTCTGCTGTGTGTGCTGGGACACGAACTTTCCAATACCTGGGTTATGGAAGGGAAGCAGACACCTTGTTTCCAGATGCTGGCAGAAGCCGAATGTGCTTTTGTGTGCTGGTTCGGCTAAGTGACTCCTTGAGCATCTCTAATCTCCCTTTGGGGAACTTGTTAAGCTCCTACAAATATTCTGCCAGGATTTCGTCTCTCAGCATTAACCTTGATTACCGGGCTTCTGCCTCCACGTATGGGAAACTGAATGGACTTGATTCATGATCCAGCACCAGGACACTGAGTGAAGGGCACTTACCTGAGCCCTCTGGTGTGAAAAGCCACAACGCATAGAGTGTGGAAACTAGCCTGAAACCCTATTCCCTGCACCATACTTCAGAGGGTATGTCACATTCTCTTACTCATGAAATAGCCTAAGAGTGGGTTTTCCCCCAAGAGGAAAGAGGGTGGAGAAGTGGGTACAATGAAATGGATGTTTGTGTCTCCCCAAAATTAATATGCTGGAATCCTAATCCAATGTGATGATATTAGCAGGTAGAGCTTTTTGGGGTGATTAGGTCATCACGATGAGTTTATTAGTCATTAGTCATGAATAAGTCCAGTGCCCTTATAAAAGGGACCCCAGAGAGCTTCCCCCTCCCTTCCACCATGTGTGGACACAGCAAGAAGTCAGGAGTCCACAACCAGGAAGAAGTCTTCACCAGAATTTGACCACGCTGGCTGGCACCCTGAACTTGGACTTCCAGCCTCCAAAACTGTGAAAACTAGATGTGTGTTGTTTATAAGCCTCCCAGTCTATGGCACTTTGTTATAGCAGCCCCAACTGACCAAGAGAGTGGGAAAAGAAAGAACCCTACATGGACAGCTACAAAGAGATTTGATGTCACTGGGTAGAATCAGACAATTCCCAATGTCTCCGCATATTCTTTCCTCTTCTACTCTGAGTATTGGTGATGCTAGGTAGAAGGCAATAGCTGGGGTCCAAGATGAACATACATTCTCCTAGGAAGTTTTTGACAATAACAATCCCTTATATTTGAGTAGCACTGTTATAAAATGTCTTCCTACAGTTTCTTATCTGATCCCTGAAAGGCACTGTGAAGAATGGAGCATCGTGGGCTAAATTCAGGTATGGAGATGAGCTCACTGAGACTCTGCATAGTTAAACCACTGGAACACAATCCCCCAGCCAGCCGGTGGATGGGAAGTTGAGAGTCGGATCCAGGTCCCGCATGCATCATTCTTTCCATGTGGAATTACTCAGTAGTACCACTGCCTGCCAGCCAGTACTCCAGAGGTATTTTGCTGTTGCATGTAGGTCCCAGAAAGGTGCTGCAGGGCAGCAAGGACACTGGGCTGGAGGTTGCGGTCTGCAGGCAGGCAGCCAGGTGGACGCTGGCTGATGGAGTCAGCATCGTGTCACCTAGACACATCTGCCACCAGCCTTGCTCCCCGGTAGCCCATCAGAACACCCTCAGACAGGAGAGGCACAGGTAAAGGGAGGAGCTCGTAAGGGAACCCCACTGTTTTCAGCCTTCTGTGGTTGGACTTGCACATGCATGTGTGGTATGACTGGCATGTTTCTTTTTTCTAAAACCTAAAGCTCTAAAACGAGATCCCATTAATCATGATGGGGCCAGAGGTGAGGTAGGGGACAGCCTCGTCTGAGGCCTCACCCATCCCTCAGAATGAGAGGAAACTCATCCAGTGCCCCTCAGCCCTTCCCTGAGAGCCATTTCAGGTGGGGCAAGAGAGTACTGAGAGCTTTTTACTGAAGAAGCAGAAGAATATAGGTTATACATGTTTTAATGCAGACAGAGAGAATTAGCATCTTAAAGAAAAAAAAATCCACATGGAGGATAAGTTAAATTCTTATGACACATAATTTGAAAACTGACAGAGTAATGGCTACACTTCTAAGTATGCTATGTATTAAAAAGATTCTGACAAGGGCACTACTGAAACGCAGCCTTCCTGTAGAGTTCAGTGTCATCAGGCACCTTTGCTGTGAGGCATCCTCCTTCACTATTATTTCTTTCCTAGATGCATTTGATTGCTTAAAGTAATTCAAATAACAACGAGGTCTCAGATTCCAATGAAAGGAGAGCACAGAGAAGTTGCAAAGGCATAAAGCTTTGTATAAATTCTTTACAAAAGGGTTTTTGAGGTTGGCTGCTGCTTACCACTATAGAGAGAGAGTGAGTGAGAGAGGTACACACACACATATATATGTATATCCCAATCACTATTCAGAGAGGCAGTATTACTACCTGTTGAGAGCATGAACCTTAGAACCAGACTGTGTGGGTTTCAATCCTGGCGCCTCCTCTTGCCGGCTGTGAGACCTTGGGCAAGCTACTTAACCTCTCTGCGCCTGTTTCCTTACCTGTAAAGGAGAGATAATGGTGCATTCCTCACGGGGTTATTAGGAAGATTAGATGGATTAATACATGTAAAGCATTTAAAACAGTGTCTGGCACACAGCCAGAATAGTGCCCTGGAAATAGCTGACTGCTTATTGCAGCTTTCTGAGCATTACGAGATTCTGATGCTGTTTCGTTTCATCCAGAACAAGTTTGTCAATTTCTCTAATTACATTCTGAAGGAATAAAATATTGTTGTAGATAAATCTTGAACAGCTATACTATGAGAATCATTTGTGATCTGGGCATGGGGAAGGGTGAAGGGTTAAAAGGTGCTCGACGGCAAAGAGGGCCTCCTGGAAGTCCAGAACAAACTGCTGTTGAAGCAAAGCAGATGGAGAATCCCAGCCTTTGCCATCCAGGGTAATGGAGGCAGAAAGACCACCAACAGTGGTTGGTATGGGATTTTTAAAAATTATTTTGAACCCAACTAACCCCACAGAGAGATTTGTGTTTTCTTTGCAAATTGGACGAAGAACCACCAAACGCCAAAAGGAAAGTGAAAATTCCATGGCTCAGGATGCCTTTTGTCAAGTTAGCCCACATTTTCAACTAATGTGTCATCCAAGAGGTGACTCCTACCTCTGTTCAGTGTATTATGTACACAAGACAAATAACAAGACACGACCTGTCACAAATGCTAGAATGAAACCTGCCAATACACACATCACCAGTAATTGCCTTTGCAGATTATTGCTCCATTTCCACTTTCTCCCACAGATGCTCCAGCTCTGTGCTTCTGAGGCAAAGCCAGAGCCCAGTTCAGAGCTTGCGGAAACAAGAAACCTCAAGAAAGTCTTGCAGGAACCAAGAGAACACTGGCATCAACGCAGTCTGACTGCATCGCAGAGCTGCTGTGTTCTGGGATCTGTGGGGGTCATTTCCCATTGATATTGAAATTTGCTTTGTAATCTGGTTCTTTCAGACAACTGCTTTCCCATCTAAAACACACAGGCATCAGCTGAATATTCAACCACCACGTTTGAAGTTTACTACATAAGTCACTTTTAACAATCTGATATCTGGAAACTTCTTCAGAGTTCTTGGGAGAATAACAATTTCGAAAAAGATGGATAAGACAGCATAAAAGCACACCATTTGCAGTGCCCTTAATTACACATTCACTTGACATCTATCCTTTACATTTTTAATCAATTAAGGGAAAGAGGTTTACTGTCTGGCTCTCATGCACCATTAATCAAACCAAGCACAAGAATGAGGATGCTTTACATACACAATGTCATGCATGGTCACACGATTCTAGTGTCCTAAGGTAGGGAAGTCTCCTTGTTATGAGAGCAGAAAAAAAAATTATCCTGTGTCCTGGCACTGGTTAGCCCCCAAAGGATTCATGCTCCGGTGTCCTCTCACGAGATCTCAGACCTGTACATTAACGCTATGAATCAGTAGGTTAAACAGGAATATAAACACCCCAATCCTCAAAAGATGCTGATAATCTTTCAACATATGCAAACAGGGCTCCAATTCATTTGGTGGAGAATTAATGCCGTTCTCAGGCAAGAAGAAATTCAGATATTCAGTGAATACACTGCTCTATTGAGCTTTCAGTCAATCCTACTTTTTAAAAAAGCTAATAAGACACTTTTTTTTTTACAACAGCTGCTATCTTTTCAGAATTGAAGTGACAAATGTCAAGTTTTCTTAGTTCTGAAATGAAAAAAAAATTAGAGCAGATATTTAAGCAAAGTAAAAGCAAAAATGGTCAAGGTTGACTTTGCTTATGCTGTGTATTGGGGCACCTGCTCACTTGAAGTGAACTCTTTTGAGGCCAGAAAATGGCTCATCCTCACACAGGCACTGACATCTCCAATGACCATACCTTCAGGGTGGCTCAAATAAGGAGAAACAGACCAGCCAAAGTTTAATTCAATTTTATTTTCCACTTTTAGTATTTTTCAAATTATACAACATGCAGTCTGCCAGAGTACCCATACATCTTCATTTTAGAACCTAGAAGATTACCAAAATTTTCCGTGGGCCAGAGGAGGGTGACTTCCAGATCTTTTGTTACATGGACTATAGTACAGCATCGTTATTGATATAAACCACCATTCTCCCCTCAAACCCCCCGGACAAGTTTGTCCACAATTTTTTTAATGTGAAAGCTACTGTACAGATACATAAAGCCCAGAGAACACACATCTGCAGTACACAGGACACACTTTACAAACTAGACATGTATAATTCTACAGAATGCCCTATTCCCCTTATATCTGCACACAATGAACAGTATTTAAAACTGATACACAATTTTTAAATAAGTAAGCAGACTTCATGGAGCGGCGCTTACTTCGGCAGTTATCCAGCCATTATTCAATGCTTGGTTTAAAAAGTCTAAATTGTTAGTGTTAAATGAAGCAATTTTAGATTATGATGGTTTCTTTAGCTTGCTCAAGATTCTGGGCTAGACAATGAAGTGAAATCTTCCCTCCACCCTCTGCCTTTCCCAGTATGTCATATAGCTAGAGTCCAAATGTCTCCTGCCCTGCTTTAAAAAAATGCACTTCGAAAGAGGGGATTGTTAAGAACTTTTATTTGCTTTGTTATTTCTATAAGAACTAGAGCTTCTTTATGTAAACGTTAGGGCTTTAAAAAGTCACTAGATGCTACATTCTAGACAAACATTTTTATTTCTTCATTTATCCCAATATATCTATAAATTCTGATTTCTTAATCACGATTCTATTTCCTTTAAAAGTCTTAACGCGAAACTGTTATTGTTCTGTCTACTACCTGCTGTTTAACAAAAGCAAAGTGTGCAGCATTTGAAGAGATGATATGTTTGCACAGAATTCTCTAGTAATTGACAAAAACACATTTGGCATTATATATTTTAGTTCCCAGACATAAATCTTGATATCTCAAACAACATTCTCCTAATTTACCAATCCACCATCCTGCAGATAAAGATTATTCATATAAACCATCTGGCTGTTCTCTTAGAGCATCAAAGAGTAAACTTTCAAGAAGTAGCATGAAATATAAAATTATTCATAGAGGAGAAAAAGACACAATACATGCTAGTCAAAAGCTGCATATAACCAAAATCATATTCATGAGCTTAGTTGTTCAGAAGTGTGGTTTTTACATTTAAAGTACAGGGAGCAATAGTCTAAAAACCTGAAAATTGCACATATGTGGCTTTTTTAGAAAGTGGCCTACAGAGAACATGGTCCTGATATAATAACTGGCTTATTATACATAGCAATATTTAAGGATCCATTTGAATAATCCGTTCCAATAATTTGCCTCCCTTTTAGTCACACTATAGGAAAATTAGATTAGAAGTCCTATAAAGATTGAAGCTAGGTGAACTGACTGGCTGATCAGCAACTAGCAGAATTATCTTTAAGAGACATCAAAGCCAACTTTCTCTGTGAATAAAAGTAAAGCAAATGTTGTCAGTCCCTTGTAGAGATCAAGTAAAATGGAACTACAAGCGAATGTTTCCCTTTGAAACATGAAAGTGCCAAGCAATTCTTTAGAAGTAGAAACGGGGTACCCAGGGAAAAATCACCCTGGAAAGAATCTAAAACAATCTATTTTATGATGGATATTAACAAGAGCCAAAAACCATTACTGACCTTTGTTCAATTTCCAAACAAAAAGTAATGGAGAGTAGTGGTAATGACAATTAATAATTGGCAATCCTCTCAAACACCAATGTTTAGCTTCCCAAATCAGAAGCAAACATATCAACAAGGTTATGTGGCATATGTTATTACCTGATAAGCTTTGCAAAACCTGCCCCACAAGGACCCTTTTATCAGACCGCAAATAATGGTAGAGCAGGTATATTGGGCTGGCACTGATAACAAAATTAAAGAATGAAAAAAATTTAAACAAATGCAAAATTGCCATCTTCACAAAATAAATACTTCAATAGAATTTGTCGTCCTCTCTCTCCTTATTCCCCACCAAAAACAAAACATACATAAACAAAGTGCAACATTTAACAAATAAATTAAGTCAAAGCAGGTTTGCTTTGCTAGGGAAATTTTGTACAAGAAATGTTTGGATGTCAATGCACAGTTCTTAGCACTTTACACACATACACACACACACACACACACACACACACACACACACACACACACACTTGAGCTACCTTCGACCCACACAGTCATGAGAAAAGCCCAAAGTCTCCCCTGGCATATATTTCATTACAGTGGTGAAAGCTTCAGGGCACAGTGCCAGCTCACTCATCTTGGGCACACAACATGATAGGATAGGAGTTTCCACCGAGATTGGTTTGGTTGTCATTGACTTACCCCCAAATTTGTCAAAACAAATAGCAGCACAGTCAGTTTCCCTGAAAACTTTACTACTTGGAAATTGATCTTCTTAATAAGCACAACTGGAAGTAAGGGTTGATTCAGCTTTAGATTCATGTATTTGGATAAAGCAATAACTAAATGTAAAATATCCATCTATGTGGATTTTTTCTAATTGTGCCTAAGAAGATGAAACCTATTTGGTGCCAAAGAAAGAATTCATATAAACAGTCGCCAATTATGGGTTAAAATAATAACTTATTCATGGCAACTTACTCATACACAAGCACAAAGAACAAAATTTTGACAAGCACTTTCTCCCGAAGGCTTCCTTTTTCAACTGCTGGAATGATGTTGGATTTCTTCAGCAATACCCACTCAAGCTGAAAATGGTTAGAGAAAGCAGCCATTCCCAATGCAAGCTTCAGAACGATCAGAGAGGAAGTAGTGAGGAGAGGGGCAGCCACATTTCCACTTATCCAACTTTGCAGCATTTTCAGCACTTCTGAAAGAACGATGTTCAAACCGGGCCGGCTAAGACTAGTTGCTGCAGGTTCAAAAGCAAGCAGCTCGGAGGTGAATTTTATGACTTTTTGCATTTACACAGATGTATTTGAATGAACAAATTCTACACTGCTACTGTCAGATTGTTTTTCTGCCCCAAAGAAATTTGCTTTGCATTTTAACAGGTGCCATACTAAAAGGTATATTTTACAGATCCAAAGATGTGACCAGGATATTCAAAATGTGTCTTTGGGGTAATTTGTTTCGGAAAAGTGTTCAGAAGGAAAACTTTGAACCCTATAGCAGCACTTTTTGTTCCCTAAAAATATAAAACAATGTGTTTATTTTACAGGAAACCAGACAGTTGAGGCAGACCATGATCATCTGCCTCCACGGCACTTGGTTGTTCCCCTCTAGGGAATGGCACATTAGGGCGTACAGATGGGACAGTGCACTGCCCAGAGGAGGCTCCAGGAACCACCCAGAAACCACCCAACACCCCGGAGGCCGAGTCGGTGGTAATGGTTCTCAGTAGTAAGTGGATCTTCTGCAACCATCTCCTTCAGATTTCTCAAAAAGAGAAAAGTCCGAGCACACATCTGTACACACAGAAACTCTACACAGCTCAAAAGACCTGAAACTGGTGTACTGCAGATGGCTGGAGTAAGCAAGTATAAAAAAAAAATGGAAACTGTAGGGGGGGAAAAATAAAGGAATTGGTGATTAATGTAGTCCTTGACATGCTACGTGGAGTCATATCTGTTGAAAGAGAACCAAAGAGAGAACATAGGAATTAGAAAACACAGTAGAAATTTACTCCTCAAAAAAGTTTTGTTTAATTCTAGATGTTTAGACCAGAGCTGTCAGATACAAATATAACACAAGCCACATATTTTTTGTTTGTTTGTTTTTGAGATGGAGTTTCACTCTTGTCACCCAGGCTGGGGTGCAGTGGCGCGATATCGACTCACTGCAACCTCTGCCTCTCGGGTTCAAGTGATTCTTCTGCCTTAGCCTCCCAAGTAGCTGGGATTACAAGGGTTTGCCACCACACCCGGCTAATTTTTGTATTTTTAGTAGAGACGGTGTTTCACCATGTTGTCCAGGCTGGTCTCAAATTCCTGACCTCAGGTGATCCACCCACCTCGGCCTCCCAAAGTGCTGGGATTACAGGTATAAGCCACCGTGCCCGGCCAAGCCACATATTTAATTTTAAATTCTCTAGTGGCTACATTAAAAAGTGAAAAGAAATAGGTAAGATTAATTGTAATATATTTTATATAGCCTAAATAGTATTTCAACATGTAACTGGTATTACATGTTGAGATCGTTTACATTACAATATTACTACTGAGATTTTTTTTTTCACACAATAGTGTTTGCAATCTGGTGTATATTTTACACTTTCAGCCCATCTCAATTTGGACTTAGCCACATTTTGAGAGCTCAAAAGACACATGTGGATAGTGGCACATGAACAGCACAACCTCCGATTTCCTGATTTTGCTTTAAGTATTTAGTCCTGACAGTCTCAACATTCTCTTCCATAAGTCGGTATCTGTTGAGGCTATGGATATTCAGAGTAACATAATGCATTTTCTCATTCCTAGGGGGAAATTAAAACATTTCTCATTTGCCTGCACTTAGGATAGCAAGCAGGTGCAACAAGGCCCCTAACCCAGACTCTCTGTAGAAAGAGGTTCCCAGTTCCCAAAGGTATGCTTCGTCTCCATCGGATAATAAGATTCTCCAAAAGACCACCCCTGTCCATTTCATTCCACTTCCCACCAGAAGTTCGGCTGGTGCTGGGCGCATCTCCAGGATGAACGTCTAGACCAGCCTGAATGGCCTCTGTCAGCCTGCACCCAACATCAGTAAGCTCAACTTTCAGAAGACACTGAAAGGCTCTGTTTCCTGTCACCGGCTGGAGGCCCTAGCTCTGAGATCTTACTATAGGTTTTGTGCAGAGCTCATGGTACTCTAGGGGATGGGGACAGGGATGACAAGAGGGAGGTAGAGCCTTATCCTTAAGAAATACATGGAATTACCTGGTACTGGAAATACAACAGCCACTAAGAAAAGCCCAACTTCTCTTTTGATTAAAAAAAAAAAAAAAAAAAGCCCTCTGTAACCTGACACATTATGCATTATGCTTTCTGTTTTGCCTCTAGAAGGCTTATATCAACATTTGGTGCTCAACTGTGGTAATATCTCAGATTCCCGCTACCATGCTCTTTTTTTTCTTCACTCTTCTGATTTATATGTTATAATATTGTAAGCAACCTCACATATTTTGCATAAATCAGCAGGATGTAAGTTACATATAAATAGAAAAATTCTCAGTCTAGAAAGGGGTTATTAAAGCAGATACAAGCAAAGTGGGTGAAAAAGGGAGAAGAAATACGGAACAGAAACTGAATAGAAAAAAAAAAACAGAACAACACATTCTTTTTAAAAATACCACCTCTTGGCCAAGTGCAGTGGCTGATGCCTATAATCCCAGCACTTTGGTTTGGGAGGCCAACGCGGGTGGATCACTCGAGGTCAGGAGTTTGAAACCAGCCCAGCCAACATGGTGAAACCCCATCTCTACTAAAAATACAAAAATTAGCCCGGCATGGTGGCTTGTATGTGTAGTCCCAGCTACTTGGGAGGCTGAAACAGGAGAATCGCTTGAACCTGGGAAGCAGAGGTTGCAGTGAGCCGAGATCATGCTGCTGCACTCCAGCCTGGGTGACAGAGTGAGACTCAGTCTCAAAAAAACAAAAACAAAAACAAAACCACCTCTTCACTGACAAGAAAAAATATTCACAGAACTCATTTGGTATAATCACCCACAGTGGCAAAGCTACACAACTAAGAAGGGCTTAAACAACCCTAGAGGGTGATATTTCTGTCATTTTTAGAAGTCACAGAGAGTAAGATGTCTTTGGGAAGAACATGGCCTTTCTGGTGAAATTTTGGGCTTATTGCCAGAATTAGAAGTGAAAAACCTAAAAGCATGGTCATAGTTGTTATTTAAAATGCATTCTGAGCTGAAAACCAATAGGAGTGCCTGCCTGAATGCCACCACTGAAACTGCCATTTCACTTTCTCACAGGTTCATTTCTCCACGCACGCTATCCCCCTGGTCAGATAAGATCCCCTTGGTCGGATGAGATGGCCGTTCTGCGTGCCTGGAGGCAGAGAGGTGCCAGCACATACCTTGGATTGTGGGATTATGGCCTGACGCAATGTTTGCAGCCAAACCGTGTTGACACAGCAAGCACTAGACACAAATGCAATGGGGCGGCCTCAATAACTCCAGCAGACCATAAAGTGACACAATTTCCCCCTGGAAGGCCTCTCAGTCAAAGCCCCCGATCCCCGCTGGGCAAGATTCAGCAGGTTTTGGCTCATAGTTTGGAAGAAACACGGGGCCACAAAGGAGGCCCCACCTGCTTAGTTTAGTCACCTCAAGGAGAGTGAGAAAGGAGAGGAAAAGCACAGGAACTCTGCCAATGAAGGGTCCTTTCTTTACTAGGATGCAGCGTTCCTCTTCATCCCCAGTTAAGGATCTCTACAGGCCTGTCTGCTGAGAAGTCTTTCCAGCAGGCCCAAGAAACATGGATTCCAGCAGGATGCTCTCATCCATCCTTCCCACTATCTGGATCTTCATATCCTTAGATAAATTCATGGGAGAAAATAGATATAAATTTTAAAGGTAAATGGTTTTGCCCTGAGATAAAGCATTTCTGTCTGTTCTAATCCCAGAGAGACTGAGGAGTCTGGAGAATCTTTAAAACCCAGTCCTGTTGACTCTCTTCCAAGTAGCCACTCACTCACTTAGAGGCAGGGGACTGGACCAACTGACCTGCTCTAGGACTTCCCCTGGCACTCTGCCAAACTGGAGATGGTAATTCAAAGTGGCAACGTGTGACCAGATTTAGGAGGAAATAAAATCACCTTTCTTTAGAAGGGGTGGGGAAAGCTAATGAAGGAAGTTAATTATACAAGGGTTTTGCAAGAAGTATTTAGAGACCGTTTTCACACCCAACTTGGGCTTTTGCAATTGCTTGCAGTGGATTTAAGCTTAATCCAAACAGTACATAGTTTTAGTTTTTCTTTTGCCTTTTTATAATTCAATCCCCACATTATAAGAATTACCAATTGTACTCTACTTATCACTGCTGAATAGAAGTGGATTTATCTCATTGGAGCTTTGGTACAATCTGCTGTGGAGGAACAATTTTAGTTGCTCTGAATTTATGACTCTGAGAACCATGAAGCTGAGGAGTATTAAAGTGGAGGAGCCTACTGTGCTGTAGATGGAATCAGGAATTCTTGCCTCCGGGTGCTCCACAATTCCCTTCTTTGGGTTGAGATTGCCAGTTTCAAAGTCCTCTGCCATAGCAGCACCTACCTACAGTTATTTCTGTCCTCTCTCCCTGCAGTCCCACCTCAGCTGTCTTTTCAGGTCTGTCCCCATGACCACTTTAACATTAGCTAACATGCACGGGGGCCTAATTTTTGCCAGGTATTCTTCTAAGACTTTTTTCTCTCTTCTTTCACATTCTCTCATTCAATCCCAGACAAGCCTGTGATACGGGCACTATGATCCCAACTTCCCCATTCCACAGTTTTCTTAGCTGTCCAATGGCCAAGAATCTTGTCTGGTGTGACAAAGGGGGATTATCTTTATATACTTCAACCAAAACAGCACACCGCAACAGACAGAATGCAGAAACAGCTGGGGGAATCCAGCTGCCATCTATTAAATAACCAGGCATCAAAGAGATTTGCAAAAATGTAAAACAATGCCATTTGGCTATTTTTTGTTTTGAAAATAGTTATTTTCATTACAAATCACATTTGTGGTAACATGTATGGGCTTATTACTATTTTTTAAATGAACCCGGCAGTATTCTAAATATTTTGCTTTAATTTCTAATATGATACATATCAATAAATATAACCCATATATATATATATAAACTCATTGATCCTTTTTTGTTTGTTTTTTTGAGAAAGATTGTCATTCTGTCACCCAGACTAGAGTGCAGTGACACAAACATGGCTCACCACAGCCTCAAATTACTGGGCTCAATTTCCCACCTCAGCCTCCCAAGTGGTTGGGACTACAGGCGTAAGCTGCCATACCTAGCTAATTTTTAATTTATTTTATTTTATTATTATTATTATTGAGACAGAGTCTCGCTAAGGCTGGTTTCAAACGCCTGGCCTCAAGTGATCCTCCTGCCTTGGCCTCCCAAAGTGCTGGGATTATAGGCGTGAGCCACCATACCCAGTCTATTGATCCTTTTTAAGAGGAGAAAAGGTCCTAAGGCCAAGAACTTTGAGAACTGTTGCAGAGAAGATCATCGCTCTTAGCCCAGGATCTACCACTCATAGTTATGGGATCTTGACAGCTCATCCCGCCTCTTTGGGATGTAGAATGAGGAGACAGGATCAGGTGATGAGGACAACACAGATGAGCACGGAGTGCTTGTTCAGTGCCAGGCACTAGGCTAATCTTCATGTATTTGTTTTTATTTGTTTATTTATTTTTGAGGTAGAATCTCACTCTGTCACCCAGGCTAGAGTGTGGTGGCATGATCACAGCTCACTGCAGCCTCAAACTCTCCAGCTGAAATGATCCTCCCAGCTCACCCTTCCAAGTCACTGGAGCTACAGGCATGCACTACCACACCTGGCTAATTTTTTTATTTTTAGTAAAGACAAGGTCTTGCTAAGTTGTCCAGGCTTGTCTCAAACTCCTGAGCTCAAGCCATCCTGCTGCCTCAGCCTCTCAGAGTGCTGGGAGTACAGGAGTGAAAGAATTGAGTCACACCACGACACACAAAAAACAGGCATCCCAAACTCTACAAGAAGCAACGCACTCCGGGGTCGCATTGCACCTAGCTCTTTATTTTCAGAAAAAGCCCTTCTTTCATTAAATTATGTGAAGTTTGGTGGTTTGGACTTTTTATTTGTGGTTTTATTTCGATTTAATTTCTAAATTTGTTTTGACTTGACAGTTGTATAAGATCTGTAAGTAGGGAATGTATACTGTTTACAATGTGCAAATTGTATTATAATAAAATAATTTAAATCAACTCTGGGGATCTGTGAGAATTGTATTCCTTTCAAAATACTCTATTTACTACTCAAGTTTGAGATAAAATGGTCTAAATATAGGAAAACCAAGAAAAAAGACCATTCTGCCTTCCGTCTTTCAGAAAACATCTAAGGTTTCAGCAATGCCCTACTGGCGCCATCTGGTGGAGACATTTGAACAAGTCCCCTGGCTTGCCAAAGCACTGCCTGGAAAGGAAGTGGATCTCCAGGGCTCTCAAAACGAGGGAGCTGGGCAGATGTTTAATCAGGTGTCTACATTAAGTGTGGGGCTGCAAAGAAGACTCAGCACTGCCTGAGAGGTTGATTTTACACCGTCTCTGGTCTCAAGAGCGAGACCCTGCTTCCTCCCTCTCTCTCAGCTGATCATCTGGCTTCTTGCCTGCACGAGAAAACAAGCTCTAAGGTGACCTGGATCTTGCCTCCCAATGCACCCCATCTACCGCCCACCCACAGCTGTGCTTCCTCCTCTGCCCAGCTCAGCTATACCATCACCATCGCACACAACTATGCTGTAATATCTCCCATCTTACAACAGAAAAGCAACGCAGCCCCACCTTACCACCACATCGCTCCATTTCTCTGATCTCCTTCAAATAAAACCCCCAAAGTGGGTTCAGCTGCCGGCTCTATTTCCTCACCTAGTCTGTCTAGTCCATGCTAAGGTCACTGCCACCTGGCCTTCTTCAACCACCCAGTCTCTGTCATCATCTTACTCAAGCTCTGAGCTGACCACCTTCCTTCTAGGGTCAAGGTCTTCACTTGACCTCTGTGCCCCCACATGATCCTCAGGCCCCTCTGCTGGTGCCACCTCTTTTCTCTGGCCTTCCCATTTTCCAGTGCCTGGGCCTGGTCCAACTCGCCCCTCAGCTCCCCTCTCTGCTGTGCCCACCTTTTCTCTAGGTTGCCTCCTTCAGACCTGTGGCCATAAACACAATCTACAAGTCACAACTCTCCAGCCCTGGCCTCACCTCAGCCTCTCTCCTGTGCTCCAGACCCACGGATCCAGCCACCTGTTCCACACACCCACTTGCGTGGTGGGCTCAGCTGGATGTCTGAGAGGCAGCACATAAGCAACATGATGGAAACCAAGCTTTCCCACAAAACCTGCTCATCCCCCGATTTTCCCTGGCATGGTTAAAAAGGGACCAATGTTTCCCTAACTGCTAGAGCCCACAAAAATCTAGGAACTACCTTGATTCCCTTCCTTCCTCCTCTTCTTGCTCTCAACCCTCATCAGTAAGCCTGACAGCTGAATCAGCTCTAAGCAGGCACTGACTCAGGCCACTTCTCCCCTGCTGCCACCACCTGGGTCTGGTACCGGACCCTCCCCCATGGCCACCTACAGTGACGCCCTAGGCAACCCCCAGTGCTTACCCCATTCCTACCCCTTCTTCAGGGTCCAGCCCAGAGTGGCCTTGTCTAATCATGAACCAGCTCCCACTGCTTCCACGCCCACAGCCCCAGTGGCCCCTCACACTAGGCTACAATCTAAGTTGCCCACAGCTTCAACACCTTCATTTACTTGGGCTCAACTCCCTCCCCATCCACTCTAATGAAGATGGGTTCTCCCAGATCCATGAGCTACTGCCTTATCAGCCTTGGTAACATTCCTCAAATAACCCTCATTCATTCCTACCTTTGAGTGATCATCGAACCACTTTCTCCCAGGTTGCTGTGTGCCTGGCATTTTTCATCACTCAGTTCTCAACTTAAATGTCACCCCCTCTTCTAAAACAGTGTTCCTATTCCATTAGCCTGTTTTTGTTTTCTTCTGAGCACTTACCACTACTTGAAGTTACCTTATTTTCTGTCCATCTTCCCCTAACAAGCATATCACTGGACAAGAACACAGCCTTCTTGTCTGATTCACTGTGAAACCAAGTACAGAGCTAGGCTCTCAATGCCTGATCCCACTTAGCCGGTAGGAAACCTAAAGCTGACAGAAATCAAGTAACTTGCCCAATGTCACATGGTTGCACTGCACTGCCCCATATGTAGCTCTGGGGTTTGAAAAAGATCATCTCCTCCTGAGGCAGCCCCCTGTGGATTTGAACCAGATAAGATCAAAGCCAGCATTATCCTGGGTTCTTTTGATTTTTGTATATTGGCATCTTCATAGGCTCTGAAACCTTGAGAATAAACCAAAATACTCATTATGGCTATAATTCTTGAACCCTGAAATGAAGCAGAAGGAAATTCCAAAGATATCCAGCTGTAAGAATATGTGCTTTGACTCCACAGGAGGGCTGGGAAGACACAATTGAGATCATTTCTACCCAGGGAAGAGATACTTCAGAATGAAAATCCCAAAGGTCAGGAAAGACTGTCTCAAAAAGGCTTTGCTCTCATCTAAGCAATGAATTCCATATTTTCAATTACTTTTCAAAAAGGATTTAGCATTTCTTTACTTTTCAATTGCAATTCCTGAATCTGTTGATTACTACCCCTTTTTAATCTCCACTGACAAATGCCCAGTCATTTCTTAAAAATAGTCATAGCTTGTAGATAAGTAAATTATATATATATGTTTTTTAGATAGGCTCTCACTTTGTCACCTAGGCTGGAGTGCAGTGGCACAATCTCGGCTCACTGCAACCTCTGCCTCCTGGGTTCAAGCAATTCTCCACTTCAACCTCCCAAGTAGCTAGGGTTACAGGTGTGCATGTCTACGCCCAGCTAATTTTTCTATTTTTAGTAGGGAAGGATGTTTCACCATGTTGGCCAGGCTGGTCTTGAACTCCTGACCTAAAGTGATCTGCCCACCTCAGCTTCCCAAAGTGCTGGGATTACAGGCATGACCCGCCATGCCCGGCCAATATTATCTTTAAAAGCCCTTATGTCAGTTCATAGCAACAACTAGGATACTCAGTTAGAAATAGGCCTTCCCTATCCAGTCGCCAGGATTTATTGCTATAGAGGAACTAAAAACCATTTAGTAACAACTATATGAATTAAAGGACACTATAAACCAACATGTATCAACTACCACCTTCTGCAGTGCTCATCTATACTAGCAGCTAACATTTTTATTGAGCAATTGTTATGGGCTTAGAAGCATGACCTCATTTAAGCCTTCTGTCAATGCCAATGACCAACATAAAAGATTTTCCCCATTTCATATATGAGGAAACAGACCTGAGTTTAAGTAACTTGAAGGAAGTGGAAGACCTAACACCTGAACCCAGGTCCCTTGTCCAATGCCAGTCCCCTCAGCCACACTGCCATCCTGAGAGCTGTAAGAGGGGGCCTGTTTATTTTGTAACCTGGTGAGAGAAGCACCTAGTTACAGAAGCTGTGTCTGAAGCTGTGTGGAGAAGGTATGTCAAGGAGGCTCTGAATTCAGATAAAACCATCAAAACCACTTGTAACACTTTGAGTAAAGAAACAAATTGCCAGCTGGGTGCAGTAGCTCACGCTTGTAATCCCAGCACTTTGGGAAGCTGAGGTGGGGGGAATCACTTGAAGTTAGGAGTTCAAGACCAGCCTGGCCAACATGGTGAAACCCTGTCTCTACTAAAAATACAAAAACTAGCTGGGCATGGTGGCACATGCCTGTAATCCCAGCTACTCGGGAGGCTGAGGCAGGAGAATCGTTTGAACCCAGGAGGCAGAGGATGCAGTGAGCCAAGATCATGCCATTGCACTCCAGCCTGGGCAACAAGAGTGAAACTCCATCTCGAAAAGATGATGATGGGTTGATGGGTGCAGCAAACCATCATGGCACATGTATACTTATGTGACAAACCTGGACATTGAGCACATGTATCCCAGAACTTAAAGTAAAATTAAAAAAAAATGCCACAATGGGTGAGGGTGGTTCTTTCACTCCGAAGGTCTTGAAAGTCTCCCCAGACCTACTGATTTTCACTCTTCTGTATGAGAAGAGGCTACACTGGTGATGAATGGCCAGCATTTGGTTGTTTGGAGCCTACATAAAATATGGGACTGGCAGACCTTTGTTGGAACCCATGAAGAAGGTGACTGTCCCACTGCACAATCTCTGGACCCCAGAATCCCTGGACCAGTATATTTAGTAAGGCCTTGCTGGGAAACACACATACACCTCTATGTGTGCTTTCATCAAATGAGGTGATGCCTATATTACATCTAGCCCAGTGCTGCAGCATATTAGGTGGTCCATAATGCACAGTATGCCAGCTGCCCACCTCAACATCCACTCTCCCTGTCCTTGCTCTAAAAGCATTACCTTTCTTTGGGGTAGTGATGTGCCCAGCTAAAAGACTACCTTTTCCAGCTAGATGTGGCCATGTGGCTCAGTGCTGTCCAGGGAAAGGGAGGCATCAGCATTGCATGGGGCTTCAGGAAGGCTACTTAAAGGAGATTCATTCAGGACGGCTGCTTTTGCCTCTTCTCTGCTTCCTCTCTGGTTGCTAAAGTTGGAATGTAGGCATGATGGCTGAAACTGAAGTCATTTGGTGACCTTGAGCTGGCCTTGAGTTCAGGAGGCAGGCACGTGCTTAACCTAGTTAAGAGGCTAGGTTTCTGTTTTCACTGTGGAGATTCTTAACTACTGATGTACCACCTTCAAATTTCCCTTACATAAGACAGACGTAAACCGCCATCCTGTATAAACCATGGAGAGTTTTCAAACTTCGATGAATATCAGAATCACCTGGAGTACTTGGTTAAAAAGACAAACAAAGCCCAGGCCCTTCCTCTTCTAAGGAGCCTGGGCCTCTGGGTGCTCAAGGATGCTCACATCCACCAAAGTTCGATGACCACTGCTTCAGGCTTTTCTGTTCTAAGCTGCCCAGCTGGATCTTAGAGTTCCCTTCAGGTATCAGCCTCGATACTGACAATATGTAGTCAAAAGCAACTTTCTAACTTCCAGTTTCATTCTATTTCTGATTGGAAGCAGAGATTAGATAGGAATGGGGTGGCCCACCGCCAAGACCATTTCCCATTTTCCTGTCTAGAAGATGGCAGATGATGGCAGGCACACTGCCCGCCCGCGGGCTGCCTCCGCCTTCCCTCCTGTTCCCACTACTCTGACCAGCCCCTGGCCTGCTCGTTGGCACTGCCTGGGGCAGCACAGGTAAAAGTTGTGTGGGGGCAACTACCAAAGCATTTCCCTTGGAAGTTTTAGCCTATGCCTGGGCGATGCCGGGACCCTGAGTGATGGCTCCAGCCCCTCCTGCTCACCTTCTTGCCTTGATGCAGAAAGGACTGGATGAGGAGGGGTCCAGGCTTCACACCTTGCATGCTTGCCTGCCTTGGGAGCCAGCTACCCTAGCAAGGGCTTAGAGTCCAAGGACAATGTTCAGAGCCACCTCTTCCCATCTGCATGTTCAAAGTCAGAGTTTATCTAAACAAAGTTTTCTGGTCACCTAGTCATCTGTCTGCCCGCCCAACTAGTAACCTCTTTTCTCCATTTCCATCAGGATGACAGTTTTCGCTCTCTGCTTCTTCTCTTTTGGAAAGAATATCACTCGTTCCTTTTCTTTTTGCTGGGAGAGAAATGTCGTGCACATGGGTTGTGGGTAGAGAAGCTTGCAGACCACCATCTCAAAGAAAAAAGCATCCTGGACTCATCTAGATATCTTCTTAAAATCCCCACTTGTTGAGTTCAGATAGTAAACATAAAAACATCACTTTCTATTATCTGGCTCTTTCTTTATATTCTGTTCCTGAGACTTAAAGCAACCCCCAACTTCTGTCTGCTGTGGGTAAAGCAGTTGACAAACAGGTAATGCCCTTTGGGATGCCAATTAAAGAGGGGAGTCCCACAGGCAAAACAAAGCTCGGCTGAATCACTCACCACCCCTACCCCTGGAGGGGATTAGGCCGGGCCTGGCTCCAGGTCCCATGGGCCCCAGACAGCCTCAGCTAGAAGACCCCAGGGCTCTGGACTAAGTGAGGACAGGTCTGGGTCTCTGTTTACCTGGAACCCCCAGGGTGTGTGCTGGAGTAGAGCAGAACTCCTCTCTACTCAAGGTCCACTGCCAGGCAGGGGCTTTGGAAAGGCAAGAAGCCTCTGCCTCCAGATAGAGAAACCACCCTTGACATGGGACTCACTTTGTATTTATTTCTGGTAGTGAGTGGAATTTGAAGAGCTGCCTCCTCCCCCTCGAATGGCATGGACGGCCGTTGGAGATGAGGCCGGGTAGTGTCCGGGGCGGATGGGCTTGGCTGTATCCAACCAACAGAAAGAAGAGAGAACAGACATTTAGAAAAGTCTTAACAGCAACCCTGATATCTACAGGTCACCTGTGACAACTAAAAGTCACAATTCTTACCAACAGTACAATTCTTATCAACCACCAGATCTCTCTGAAAATGGGAAAACTATCAGTATACTTAGCAAATCCAAGGCATCCAAATATTTAGGGGACAGAAAGAACTTAAACATCAATTAGCTCATTTCTAATTTGGGCCAAGAAAAGTTAGAAAAAAAGATTTTCAGTTTCATCTGAAATGGATCGTAGGTTCCCCATGACTTTCAAGGATATCTGTGTAGCCCCTGAAATTGGATGCAGAATTCTGCCTGTGATGCTGTTTTCTGGGGAGAGGGTCCATAGCTTTTAATAGATTCTCAAAGGGTATGAAATCCTACACATGCAATGAACCACTATTCTAAGGTATGATTTAAAACTAGAAACGTGAAACTGCTGGTTTGCAATACATCTACACAGCAATATCTGATGGGAAATAAATTACATGTTATTGGAGATGTTTCAATTTAAAAAAAAAAAAAAGGAGAAGAAGCTGTTTAGAGAATATTCCTAAATTGTTTTTGTCCCTATGGCTATCCTGGGAACCAGGACTCTGGCTACACCCTCATTTCCTACATGGGCAAAATGCCCAAATCCATACAGGTCTTGAAGAGGCTGAGACTCCAGACCTCCCCAGGTTCTGTGCCAGCCTGTAGCCACACCCTGTCATGGATGCCAGCCTGGCTCTTCCAGGGGTATTTCCAAACCTGCACTTGGAGGCTTTCCCTGGGGCTCTGGCTACATATGGGCTCCTTCATGCTCCCACCGGGTGCAGAACACAGGGCCCTTCACACCTTGCAGAGAAATATCCTCCTATTCCAGTATTTCTAAGAGTGTACCCATTTATAGCCCAAGACCTAGGCCTACAGCCTTGGCTGGCTTCTCTCTGCCCAGCTCAGAAGTTTTGAGACCACGATGTATGCTGGAATATCTCAGAGTAGGATAACGGGGGCGCCTGACATTCCCATTCCCACAGGGTGAGCACAGGGTGCGGTGAGGGCTGCGTCCTGCGGGCTCCAACCCAGCCTTTCAGATGTTCCAGAGTGGGCCAGCGCTGTCTTCACCTTTTAGCAAATCTGAGCTGAGAGGCCGCAGTAGCTTCTCAAACCCCGGGCGCCACTGTGCACGCACGTACCGATCTGGGCTGAATGGGCCCTTCTGGCCATGTTCTTGGCCCGCACGGCCTCCTTGATACGATCCACCTCCTGCTGGTAGCGCTTACGGTCCCGCATGGCGTTCTCCTTGGCCTCCTTCAGCGCGCTCTCCAGAGCCTTGACGCGCTCCGCCGTGGCACGCAGCCGCTTCTCCAGCTTGGGCAGTTCACAGCGCAGGTCTGCGTTGTCCCGGACCAGCTGGGGCAGGAGGATAAAGGAAGGGAGTTACTACCAGGCAGGCAGCATTGCACAAACCAGAGCAGCCAGAAGCAGCCCCTGCTGCTGAACAGGTGGCCCCTGCTAGGTTGTCCTTGGCACTCCGTACAACCACAGAAAGGAAAGGAAAACTCAGACTGTGGGGTCCAGGTTCCTGAACACGTGATTCACAGGGTGCAAGGAACGGTGGGGTGGGGATACAATTAAAACCTATTTCCCACCACAAGAAACTTTCCATCTGAGGCAGGATTTACCTCCTCTTCTGTTTGGGTGTGTGTAGAGGAAAGGGGGATTGTGTGAGAAAATCGACCACATATGAGAATACTAAATTAGCATGAGAAAGCTGAAACACTTAAAGTCGGTTTGAAAGGACTCAGTGAAAAACAAGCATGTTCCTGAGCTCTCAGAGGGCTTCCTTCCATGCAGAACCTGCTGTTTACACTGGCATGGGGTTTGGACCCAGCTTTGCAACACATCCAGAGGCTAAGGTAAGAGGAGGAGACTGCGCCTTTTTGCTGATTGAAGAAGCAACAGCCCAGCCCTAGGTAGGAGTGGGCTCAAGGGCCAGCTCTTTATGTCCTGGCCATCTGACTTGGTGTAAGTCATTTGACCACCACAAGTCTCAAGTTTCTCATCTATAACACAAGTGTACTACATAATAGGGGACCCAGATGGATGGAGGGAGTTTTGAAAATCACAAAGTGCTACACCAAAGTGAGCTACTGCTGGGTCTCCTGCTTTGTTCTCCTAGCACCAGCTCTAGTGCCTGGCAGAGAGTACATTTTTAATAAATGCTCGTTCAATCCATGAATAAGATAATGCATTTCAGCTGGGTGCAGTGGCTCACGTCTGTAATTCCAGCACTTTGGGAGGTCAAGGTGGGCGGATCACGAGGTCAGTGGTTCAAGACCAGCCTGACCAACATGGTGAAACCTTGTCTCTACTAAAAATACAAAAAAATTAGCCAGGAGTGGTGGCGCGCACCTGTAATCCCAGCTACTCGGGAGGCTGAGGCAGGAGAATCTCTTGAACCCAGGAGGCAGAGGTTGCACTGAGCAGAGATCGCACCACTGCACTCCAGCCTGGGCGACAGAGCAAGACTCTGCCTCAAAAAAAAAAAAAAAACATTAAAAAAAACAAAAATAAATAAAAATAAATTTTAAAAATGCATCTCAGAGCCCTATTTCAAGCTCCCTGACAGTTTCTGCTTTCGTATTTCTCATCGACAATTTGTTTGAGTGACTTCAACTATCTAGAATCTATCATCCTCTCTCTGGGGAAAAAATGCCATCATCAGTAATATTGAAGAAGACTTAACAAGTCAAAGAGAAATGACATCTCCTCGGCCATGTGGTCTAAAAACTTGGGCCGTTTCCATCATATCCCAATTCCTAAAGAGGGAAAACAGCCATGCACACACCAACATTTAAAAAGAAAGTATCCAAGACAAATGACCTGCTGAAATCACTGGTGAGTTTGGACACAGTTATCACTCTCTGTCACTCTAGACAAATGCCAGCACATCGCAGGCATCCGAGAGAGCATCTGAGATCGCTAGGAATGGGCAGCTGAGCAGAGAGGGTGCTGGTTCCAGTCCCGGTCCTCCCACGGTGCAATGAAGCAAGGCACCAGTCTGTTTCCCCATCTGTAAAAATAAAGGACTTGAACCAGCTCAGTGGTGTCCACTTTCAGGTCCACAGAGGTACCTCAGAGGTGTCATGGGAGACACAGAGGCTAGATGGTGTCCAAAGTCAGGGGTGGAGGCAGGATGAAAAGACAGGCCTCTGAACACTTCCCTCTCCAACCCCAGAGAGCTCAAACCCTATGCGTTATATTTGGCTTTGATAAAAGAAAGTCCTTTATATATACGGGAAGTCACTGAGAACTAAAGGATTTGTAAGGACCTTTCCAGCCCTCATGTCCTCTGATAGTGTACAGTTCTTTTACCTTCAATCTCAGTGCCTTCTCCGCACACTGTGGCCAAACCTGGTGGGGCTTCTTTCCAGGAGAGAGGAGGGAATCAGAGGGGAGCGGGCAGAACTCTCCTACCTGCTTGTGAACTTTGGTGAGCTGCTCCAGGTTATTCTCCAAGAAGGAAATTTTCTGCTTCTGGGCAGCACTGCCCCCTCCATCATCGTTGTCCAACTCCACACTCTGCATTGACACCAAGGGGTCAGCAGGACAGGCTGTCACCCACCCACCCTCCGCCCCAGGATAATGTGGATGGAAAAAAAAAATCCCCATTCCCACCAAAGGGTATTCTGAAAGTGAAAATAGAGGTTCTAAAAGTTTAGACTCAAGAAATCCCCCAATTAATTTCCCTTATTAGTATGAAAAGCGATTTGAGGAGCTAATTTTTAGAGAGCTAAAAAAAAAAAACTCCTTCAAATCTGCTTTTGAAAGTTGTAGATGATTTATCTTCAGTAAAATATACATCTGCCTTTCATGTAGTAAATAGAGACTTCTTTTCAAAAGAAAGCATTCCAAAACTCATTAAGAAACAACAACTGCAAAAACATAAACCCAGGACCTAAATTTGATTTCAGCCATCATGGTGGGACAACAAGTCACCAAACTTGTAAGCAAGTGTCTATGGTCCCACTGGGAAGTCTTAATGGCCTCTGCTTGTCCCTTCAGCTTCCAAATCTATAAAATTAATTAATGAACCAGGCTCAAATTAATCATAGCATCCGGGTGCTGGGTAAATTCTTGAAATTTATCAGATCTTGAAATTGGCAAAACACTGCACTCCTGGCAAGCCGAGTGGCACAGATAAATTGGAAAGTACAGGTCCTAACACATCCCAGTGTTCCAAGGTGGAAAAGCAGGTTTGCTCTGTCTGATTATAGAAGAGATCATCATCCTTTTTCTCAAAGGTAATGGCTACATGAGCATCTCAAACCTGCAGCTCTTCAGTCTAAAACTGAGCTCCCCAAATTTGAGCCTTAGCACTGGGCTCTCCAGGGGAGGGTTTGTTGAGACTTAGATTGCCACGCCCCATCCCTAGTCTCTGATTCAGTGGACCTGGGGTGGGGTATGAGAATTTGCATATCTAAACAGTTTCCTAGGTGATGCTGAGGCTGATGGCCAGAGAACCACCGGCAGAAAAACACTGGTCTAAAAGCAGGGCTTTCCTAGGGAGTTTTCTATCATGAAATCTGGAAGTCTGATCTCAAGCTCCTAACCCTCCCTAGGACCACAGCCTCCCATGTATGGTCATGGCTTCCACCTCCTTCCTCGGACTGAACCTTTTCAGTCCATGTCATAACCTCTGGCCAGGTGCCCTCCCCTCTCTAGCCTCCCTGTCCATCACCTTTGCTCTGGCTTCACTCTCCTGCCAGGGCCAGGCCCCCATGGTCATTTGTGTTTTGGTCTGTGCTTACTACCTAATCGCCTAGCCATTGCCATGCAGGCCTTGAAATTGCCCATCATTTTCTGCCTTCTTTATTTTCATTTCCAGGATTCGAAACTCACTTAAACCATGCTGTCAGGGGCCACGCCAAGCCCATGCTTCTAACTCAACACCAACACCACTGCTCAGCAATCCTTCTACTCTTCCATAGCACATCCCCTACCTTGGCAGCCTGAACCATGTCTAGTCTCCTTGGGTTTCCCATTCTCTTCCCTACTTCCCCACCAAGGACTGAGCCTTCACATAAACCAAGAAGACCCAAGTCATCAAATGTGACTTCTTTCCACCCGCATGTATTTCCCTGCCGATCCTTCCAACTTGACTTCTCCACTCCTCCCTTCTAGGAATTTGTGTCCCTCCTCCTTAGCAAGCCTATCTAATACATCCATCTACACTATTAACCCTCTCCCTCTCAGACCCGACTCTATCTTTGTAAGACATTTGACCTCTTTCCCTTGGCTCCTTCACACTGACACACATTCACACACACACGTACACACACTCAAATATGCACACACATTTACACACATATGCACCCACTTTTCTTAAACAGACTCCTTCCTTAAACCTCTGCAAGCTGTTTGGGGGAGTCACCATTATGGAGTGTCTCCAGACTGCTGCTGTAGCACGAGGATGGAAGAAGCTCAGATCCAGAGACCCCGCAGGCCTGGGTTCCAGACCTATCTCTGGCTCTTCCCACCAGTGCAATATTGGGTAAGTTATTTAACATCTGAGCCTATCTCCACATCTGCAGAAACAGGAACACTAAGCACCACTTACATGGTTGCTGGGAAAAGCAAATAAAATACTGGATGTTGACGTGCTTTATAAACTCTGACCTAGCCCCTAATGGCCTTTTAACAAACAAATAAGAGGCTCTCTCTGTCCGACTTCTCCAGGCTTCTGGGCAATGCTTTCTGAAATGACTGCTCTAAATGTTTCTGTGTCAAGAGCAGTTGCCCTCACACAGTGGGGGCCAGAAAAATATGCGTTCATTTGAAATGAAGGCCAGAGAAAGTATTCTGACTTCCTTTTACCAAGAAGGAAAAATCAGATGGGAAAATGTTACCAAGTATTTTTTGCCTCCAGCACATTCTTTTAATAACATTCTCTGGTGTGCAGTAATTAATTTTTAAGCATAACCAGCCCCGACTTAAGCAAGTGATATTTCAACTGAAAATGATTCTTCCCTGCCATCTTTGATTTTCTTCTCAGTCCCATTCAGACAAAGAGAACTCACTTTTTTAACTCGGGTGGTCAGATCCTGGACAAAGAGTTTCCGAAGGTTGTGCAGTGTCTGCAATTCTCTAGACTGGAAGAGATTTTTAAAGGCCACTTAAGTGCAGCAATTCACTGAATTTATGACACATTTGGCACCAGATCATTCCCCCGACACTTCCCAAGCCTGCCATGGACGCCGCTGGTGCACCCCCTTCCCTGTGACACCCCCACCCTGACCATGCCCACCCCTGGACCTAGTGTCATTACTGGAGCACCTTGAGGTGCAGAGCCTGAGAACCCAGACCACAAATTGTAAACCAGAACAAAGCCTGCCCATCTGCTCACAGTGGAACCACACATTTCCTCACCCACAAAAATTCAAAGGTTTCCTCACAAAAATTCCTACTGGGCTATGTTGTATCAGGGTGAATTCCTTTTTTCTTTTTTTTATTATGTAAATGTTACAATGTAATACCAACAAGCTGAAATGAAAAGTTAGCCACAATATCTCACCGTAACTGACTCACATTTTTCCTGTCTCCACACCTGCTTCAGACGCAAGTCCACACACTTGCTTGTTTTAAGTCACTGAGCTTACGGATGAGGCATTTCATGGACTTTCCTCCTGGGTGGCCCTGGGCAAGTTATCTAACCTTTCTGTGCCTCAGTTTTCTTATTGGTAACATGAGAATAAAAACAGTGGTTGCCTTATCA